>NC_000004.12:97709259-98012290 GCF_000001405.40 Homo sapiens
ATAGTAATAAACAATAAGAATCTCAATTTTTAAATTTAGAACTGAAAATAAGTAATAAACTAAACCTACAGTGTGATTCCAATTCTCAACATGTTCTGGATTTATACATGTTAATATTTTATCTCACTTATATTGTCCTACCCAATTCTGCTATTAAAAATTCACTCTGAAATTAATCTCTAATTGAGATTTTTCAAGCAATTATGTAACCTGCAAAAATTAAAAATTATACTCATAAAATGAATTGTTATTGAACTTCAATTAATTTCAGCAGAATTTTTGCTTTTTTAAGAGATATATTTAAATCTTTTCTAATATTTAAAGGATTTTATGACATTAAATTCATTGAAGTTTCTTCTATTTAGCTTTTTAAAATATTCTCACATAGTCACTGTATAATTTAAATTTCAGAAAATCAATATATTTGAAGCAAATAAAAAATCAGTATATTTGACTCGATCATTGTATTTGAAGCCTTATCTAAACCTTAAAAAAACAGTTTTTTGGTCAAGAGACTGATTCAACAAGAGAATGTGAATGAATCAATAAAATTTACTGTTATTTTAAATGAATATACACATATTCTTTTCACTGAGAACTAAGTCAATGAGGAAAAATTTATGTCTAGATAAAAATTAGTGATTTATGAAAAGAAAATCCTGATTTTCCATTTTGCTAATTTATTCAATAAACATTTATTAATATAGTATTAGGTGCCAGATTCTGTGGGTGGAACCTGAATCATATACAATTAAATAAATCATTGCCTTCATGAAGCTCATAATGTAATATTGAGAGTTCTCAGTTGAAATTATAAGTGAACTTTTATAGATTAATAAACCTTCTAAAATTGTATGCACATTTTTTATGAGTATACACACATTTTCTCCCTAGCTTTTATTAGATCTTCAAAAAGGTCAATGATAGTAATCCAATAAATATCAATAACTAAAAGGAGCAAAGACAAACAGCTTAGCTAGTAATTGAAATAAGATGGGCAAAGTAAGATATATTCCAAAAGCAACTCTGACCTTCCTCCACCCATCAAAAATGGAGAGAGAACTAAATCTACCTGGGGAACTCCAGAGATAATTTACAAAAAAATGAAAATAGCAAGCAGACATTACAAATATAGGTGTACAATTTAAGAAGCCTCCAGATTTTTGCAAATATAATTGTATGGACCACCAGCATTGGACAGTTGGGGATCCTTTGTGGACATAAGACATTAAAAATGTATAACTATCTCAATGGCAGATCATACAGCTAAGTAATTTTCAAGTATAACTGAATTGCAATTCTAAATCAATATCATGCATTTCTAGAATTATCTTTTCCTGTTAAAAAACGTAAAAAGTTTACAGCAAATATGTTCTCAAGAGTCACCAACTTAAACTTATTAAAGTCATGAGAGACTGTCAAATTAAAATAAAAGAACAAGTTAATAATAAAGAGACCTAGTAATTTATCAACCCATCAACTTAAAAGTAACTTCTTTAAAGAAGGAAAATTATGAAAAAAGTATTTATTGAAAAAGGTTTTTAATTATTCAAGGAAATAAATTGGTGTTGAGAAGACAAAAACAAAATTACAGACTCAGTTCTCAACAGAAAAGCTACCTTGAAGTTCAGTAAATATAGGATGTAATAGTTTGAAATTTCAAGAATACCTTAACAAACAACAATATAAAACCCATAAATGTTTTCTCTGACATGGGAAATAATTTTGCATAATAAACATCTATCATAAAGTATAAATATATAATATTAAATTTATAAAATCTTAAGAAAGAAAAAGCAAGAATATCTTAAATACTAGAAAGACTAGTGGGAACATCCTTTACGAAGAATGCATCACAAAATGAAACAGGATACCATTAGATTGGCTGACATTTATTATTTGTGGATACCATTAAAATGAGTTTTTTAAAGGAGAGAAATTGCTCAACTAAAGATGTAATATGATTTAATATCATCAAACTATGAACAACTAAAGTACCCAACTTATCAAGACCAATACCTTATTAATCAATACTTAAAGACCTTCCCTCACTATGCTCATCAATCTAAAGTAAACAAACGTCATAAACTTTGCCCAGTCCTAATCAGTTCCCCACTTACAAGACTTGCCTTAAGTCACCTAGCATAGATCCTAAAACCATACAAATACCCACCCTTGACTTCCACCTTCGAAAATAGTACTAATACTCTCAAGAGATTCTCCCTTTCTGAAGTAAGTCTAATAAAATTAGCTTTGCTTAACCAGCAGGCATTAGTCTTTGTCTTTTGGAGGAATCAACAGCCAACAAGATAACAATTCTTTGATTACTCATTTTCATTTGTTTTATTTTCTCCTTTGATGGAATGCTGAAAAGTATTTAGATTGTGACATTTTATTTTTATTTACTTACTTTTTTTTTTTTTTTTTTGAGAAGGAGTCTCGCTCTGTCACCCAGGCTGGAGTGCAGTGGTGCAATTTTGGCCCACTGCAAACTCTGCCTCCCAGATCCAAGCGATTCTCCTGCCCCAGCCTCCCGAGTAGCTGGGACTACAGGTGCATGACACCATGCCTGGATTATTTTTATATTTTTAGTAGAGACAGGGTTTCATCATGTTGGCCAGGCTGGTCTCAAACTCCTGACCTCAAGTATCTGCCCGCCTCAGCTTCCCAAAGTGCTGGGATTACAGGCATGAGACACTGTGCCTGGCCTTAGATTGTGACATTTTAAGTAAGGAGAAAAACATGTATTTAATATAAATAAACTTGTCATTAGCCCCAAAAAGAACATTCATTTTGGTTTGCACTCAGAATTAACTCTTAAATTAATTGTTACAAATCACTATAAAATATTTTACTTTCAATAGTTAGTAGGGTAGGAATGGGGAACCTATTTCATTCTAATTCTCTAAAGGGCAATAAAGGGCTATTGTGAACACAGTTTCTAAAATCTTTCAGGTTATGATCAGAAGGTCCATAGGTTAAAAGACACCTTTATTTATTATGAACTTAAATACAGCATCCATGTTCATTAAAAGAAAATAAAAGAGCAACACACAATTTTATTTGATCCACAGGGCTTTCTTGTGAGCTCTCTGATAAATAATTATTTCAATAAATACTAAGAGATTTCAATGTATGAATACAAACAAGTATGTAAGCAAGTGAACTTTAATATTTGTAGTAATATAAATAAATTATATATATGAATACTGCAAAGCATATTTAGAGATAGAAAAGTTGTTTAAATAATTCTTAAATTCTTAAATAATTCTTTTTAAATGTCAGACCACATCTTCAAAAATCTCCTTAGTCAAAATATTTTCATTAATCAGCAATGTGAATAAAATATATGGAAAGGACTTTAATATATACATTTGTAGTACTTTCTGGAAATTAATTCTATTCTTGTGTCACTGTTAAGAAGGAAATATTGACAAACCTCATATGTTGCTGGGCCTGGAGTAATCTCTTTGGACTCTTCAAAGCGCTTTGATGCTTTCACAAATAAGGGTATGGGGCAAGATTTCCTTAAAACAGGATTGTATGCTGCAGGACCTGAGAGACAACAAATGTAAAAATTATGATAAAGTATATTTTAAAATTATTGATTTTGGTCATATGAATATTAGGTTTGTGCTCTTAATGTATAAAATTAGCATGAAACAATCTTGAACCCATTGTTTTTGAATGCTTAAAATCATTTGGTTTATGTCTTTGAAATATAATAAGCATAAGATAGTGGCATCTGTTTACCTAATAATTAAATATATTACAGCAATAATTTCCAAAAAGGAGAAAATAGTACTCCCTCAATATACTTTTATATCATGAATGAAGATGCTTAACTCTTATATCCTAAATATTCATTCACATGTTCAGTGAGGAGTTAGGGCTTGAGCTGCACTTGGAAATACAAATGGGATTTAAAGAAGCAGAAAGGTGCTTTAATAGCATTCTGGGCAGTAAACATTACGGAAATCAAGACGCAAAGATGGAATGCACATGGAGCAATCAAATGTAGTAAACAGATGGTTTGCATGGAACAAGGCCTAATCCTAAATAAGGATTTTTGTACTTAAGCCAATGGGTTCCAACTTGTATTCTTCAATGCCCCCAAATTCTTACAGAAGTGACCAGAGGATAATTTGTAGGTAAAGCCCAAGTTGAAAAGGTTTGAATTATTTTTATTCACAACATCTCTAAAAACTTTTGAGAACCACTTTCATAGACAATGGGTAGCTCTTAAAAGTTTTAGATTAAATAGTCATGAAAAGTGGTAGTTTAGAAAGTAAATTCTGGCAGATTCTTGATTCTCATGAAGAGTGTACAACCAAGATCCCTTGCATGTGCAGTTCAGGATAGCGTTCGAGCTCCTATGAGAATCTAATGTCAGGCTAATCTGACAGGAGGTGGAGCTCAGGCGGTAATACTCACTTGCCCTCTGCTCCCCTCCTGCTGGGCAGTCTGATTTCTAACAGGCCATTGACAGGTATAGGTCCTTGGCCCAGGGTACGGGACCTGTGGTCTAGTGAATGGAACCTAGCTAGTATGACTTCACAGAGAGAAGATAGGGAGACGTAATTTTTTTTCTTCATTCATATTTTAAACAATACTATTGAGTGTCTATCACATGCCAAACCTTGTGTTTCAAGAGAATGTTAGAGGTCTACTATATCAAATGTTTCAAGAGGAGAGAAGACTTAGGAAGGACACTGTAGAATATGTGGAATATAATTTCAGAAGAATGGTAGTGAATGAAATTAGATTGGGGGCATCAGAGAGGCAATGTATGGGGAGAGAAAATAAAACCTTTGGCCACAGAATATTGACAATAAATATAAACAGTGAAATAGAAGAGTAGATATAATGATATTAATAAAATACAAAATTAATTTATCTGTATTTCCCTAATAAGCATGCAATTCAATCTACCTACTTTGGCAAATACATTCTTGTTGATGCTTTAAAATCTAAAATATTTTTAAATTAATAGGTTAGTATGAAACATTTTTAATGTTTTTAGCTTCATTAATATAGGACATTTCAAAATTTAAGACAAAGAAGGACATCTAGGCTCTAGCCCAATCATTCTAATATCAGCTCAATTAAGACATAGTATCTAAAGTTCCTTGTGGGAAGCTAATGTGTTTTGATACATCAAGTGAAAAGCTGGTATTTAAAATAAGGGAGGACATCCAGGCTCTAGCCCAGTCATTTTTAATATTAGTTCAATTAAGATATAGCTATCTAAAGTTCCTTGTGGGAAGCTAATGTGTTTTGATATACCAAGTGATAAGGAAAGTGTTTTTGCAAATGCCATCTTACTATAAAACAATAGCATGCACAACTTTGGAATAATATAATTTATATTTATAGTGCAGAGGAATAATGCACATATACATACATAACATCTTTACTGACAGACATTCAAACACAAACTATGTAAGGGAAAATATATCATCGACCATAGTATTCAGAATTAAAAAAACACAAACTATCACCAGAAGCTGGGTACATCATAATTCCATAGTCAGTTAATTGAAAATTGTAGTTTTAACCGTAAAGATATATAAAGGTTAATGCAACAGGTAAGGCTATTATCCAAACACTATTGTAACTGTAATTTTCATTTTCAATTATGAAGAAATATAGTCTATTCTCTACCCTTACCATCAGGCTACAGCAACTGATAAATATTTACATTCACAGCTATAACTCATTAAAAGAAAAGAAATTATTCAAATGTAATTGTAGATTTCTTTTTATTGGAATTCCTTTGAGGAACATTAAGTGAGGCAAAACTTCTCAATATGCATCTTGCTCCATTTTAGCACTTAGCCTGCTTTAAGCTACAGAATATTTTTTAAATAAAACAAAGCCTTATCATACTTAGTCTTGAAATACATTTTCAATTACATATGCTATTGCTTATATGATACAGGTCAAAGACTTACATTGCTTCATCAGCTCTCATTCATAGCTAGATTATGCAGAAACTATCTTCTTTTTAGATACCAAAATGTCACATTTTAATCACAGGTAATAAGGAAGAAAACTTCTCATTCCAAATCAAACACCTATGAAAAGTCTGCCTGAATCATGGCTAGTGTATAATGGGAAATTCAAGAGTAGGTGATTCTTATAATTGCATATTTTCCAGCCCTGTGACAACTCAGTCTCTATGAAATGTCAACCAATGCTACAGGGCAAAAATGGAACATAACAGGAACAGTGAGTAATTTAAAATAAAAACCTATGTTTCTGTCCCTTCAATATGAACATCTTGGTACATTAGAGTGGCCTCAGAAAAAAAAACTTCTATAAATAAAGCTACAAAATCTCAGATTTCATAAGTTGTTTGCTTTATAATGAGCTAAAATTATAAATAATGTAATCATTCTTACTATGAATACTTTTTTCATATGAAGGTGACACAAATCTACTAAAAATTAAATATCCCATATATGAGCATACTAAAACCCTGGAAGAAAACCTAGGCAATACCATTCAGGACATAGGCATGGGCAAAGACTTCATGACTAAAACACCAAAAGCAATGGCAACAAAATCCAAAACTGACAAATAGGACCTAATTAAACTAAAGAGCTTCTGCACAGCAAAAGTAACTATTATCAGAGTGAACAGGCAACCTACAGAATTAGAGAAAATTTTTGCAATCTACCCATCTGACAAAGGGCTAATATCCAGAATCTACAAAGAATTCAAACAAATGTACAAGAAAAAAATAACCCTGTCAAAAGGTTGGCGAAGGATATGAACAGACACTTCTCAAAAGAAGACATTTATGTGGCCAACAAACATATGAAAAAAAGCTCATCATCACTGGTCATTAGATAAATGTAAATCAAAACCACAGTGAGGTACCATCTCCATCTCATGCCAGTTAGAATGGTGATCATTAAAAAAATCAGGAAACAACAGATGCTGGAGAGGATGTGGAGAAACAGGAATGCTTTTACATTGTTGGTAGGAGTGTCAATTAGTTCAACCATTGTGGAAGACAGTGTGGCAATTCCTCAAGGATCTAGAACCAGAAATACCATTTGACCCAGCAATCCCATTACTGAGTATATACTCAAAGGACTATTAATCATTCTGCTATAAAGACACATGCACACGTATGTTTATTGCAGCACTGTTCACAATAGCAAAGACTTGGAACCAACCCAAATGCCCATCAATGATAGACTAGATAAAGAAAATGTGGCACATATACACCATGGAATACTATGCAGGTATAAAAAAAGGATGAGTTCATGTCCTTTGCAGGGACATGGATGAAGCTGGAAACCATTATTCTCAGCAAACTAACACAGGAACAGAAAACCAAACACCACATGTTTTCACTCAGAAGTGGGAGATGAACAATGAGAACACATGGACACAGGGAGGGGAACATCACACACTGGAGGCTGTGGGGGTGGGGGGTGGAAGGCTAGGGGAGGGATAATAACATTAGGAGAAATACCTAATGTAGGTGATGGGTTGATGGGTGCAGCAAACCACCATGGCACGTGGTGCCTATGGCCACGTGCCATGGTGGTGCCTATGAAACAAACCTGCACGTTCTGCACATGTATCCCAGATCTTAAAGTACAATTTTTAAAAAGGGGTTAAAAATCAGTTAGGAAATTGTCCATTGAAATTTCATGGTTTTAAAATGTCATTTAGAAAGTTTATACATTTATGGAACACATTTTCTCATACTGATTTTATTCTTCAGCTTTACAAATGAAGTAATAGCAAAGAGAAAAGACTAGTACACAAAGAAGTATCATCATCAATGCCAGAGACACATTTAGGTTTAATGCTCTTCCACTACCTCTAAGACTAGATTTGATTAAATGGCACTTCAGATGACCATAGAACTGCACAGTCTATTAAATTGAGCTATAGGTAAGAGAAAAAAGAGTCCCAATACTACACGAATTTTAAACAAAATGTCCATGTTTATTTTTGCCATCCCTTTAAATTATCTGTTCAAAAACCAAAAGGGTATTTCATATTTTAAGAAATAAGATTTTACATGTTCAAGGATATCTTAAAGTTATTACAGAGTATCTGGAAGTTATTGTGTACAAAGCCCCTAAGAAATGAACTATTTTAATGCACTCCAAACTAAGTAGACTGAGAAATTCATCTCCTGGCATCTACCTAAAGCATGCACCTGTTAAAACATGTGTTCCTAGCACTGATTAAGCTATAGGGCTGTCACTGTTATGACATATAAATACAAAGTCATATGGATTTGGCTTGACTGAAATATCTCTTCAGACAGCAATGTCTGTTTATCTGTGTACCTCTAATACATACTTATCAAAATGTACATCCATAAGCCCTGTCAAGTGAAGTCTTTCAACTGCTGCTATAAAAAAGATACTTCCACTCTGTGATAACGTAAATACATTGTAGATAAATTTGAATGACTTTCACCAGTCATAAATGTGGGTGTAATACAGTTTCTGTGTGAATTACAGGAACCAACTGGAAGGAAGGATAATCACCCTTCACCTAAAACCACTTTGAGTAGGCAGTACATAAATATGTAACACATGAATTATTTGTAAGAATGAACAGAATTACCAAATAATAAAATATGAAGTTGTCTTCGAGGTAAACAGAATACTTCACAATTGTCCTGAAATATTAGTGGCAAATTCTCATAATTAAATTTTGGTTTTATACTTCACAGTTCTTACATAAAGGTTTGGAGCCATATTACCAAGAAAATTATCAAGGCAAAAAAGTAGAATAAGTCTCAACATATATTTGAAGTTCCCTTAGATCACCATTCTCAGGGCTAAATTAGCACCACTCTATTTAGCAAGGCATTCCCTCTGTCAAGACTGATACTTATCTCTGGGAATATTACATGTACAAATCAGGATAATGCTAAAACATGTCACATCACAGATGAAGTCACATAAAATCCTTTAAATAAAATACCAACTTTATTTTAAAAATAATTAAAACACTTGATTTAAATAAACTAAATTCTTCACAAACATTAAAGAAAATCACTAATTTATACCATTTAAATTGTGACTATTTTCCATTTTCTCAACTTGTTAAAAATTGTAAGGTTTCTAAATATGTTTGGATTTGAATCTGCTGCTAACATCTTTACCTGTATAGGTCTGCTAGGAAAAAGCTAGAGTCAAAGAGTTTAGAGTTTCCAGAAAGAGGAGCCTACATTATTTATTTAGTGAGAAGCCAATTAAGCAAAGATTAATATTTCATTTACAACTTAAATGAACAAATTCTGTAGCCTAAAGCAAATATATGTTATAGATGAAATGAATGATACAATACTTTTCATGCTTTGATGTCATCAAAATTTTTTTACATTCATTGGATATTAAAAAAGAACTATTAGATTAACCATTGAATATTTCAGTAACCTTTGTCCTCCTTTTTAGTGAACCAAAATCTATATATAGATTTAAATCTAAATAAGAATGCTTTTCTTCACCCTTACAGTATTCTTTGGTCACTATGATCCTGTAATCATGTAATGTAAATATTCTTAACCTTGTTCCTATGTCCTACTAGAATAAGAGACAGCAGACTACTGTGAGAATTCAGCAGCATTCTTCCCTTTCAAAGCTTCTCATCAACTAAGGCTGAATATTCCTAATCCAAAAATCTGAAATCCAAAGTACTCCAAAATCTGAAACTTTTCAAGCATCAACGTGATGCTCAAAGAAAATACTCATTGATACATTTCAGATTTTGGATTTTCAGATTAGGGATGTTGAACTGTTGAGTATAAGTAATGCAAATCTAAGATCCAAAAACTTTGAAATCTGAAACTCTTCTGGTCTCAATCATTTTGGATAAGACTACCACTGGTTAATTACAACCAAGATAACTAACAGTGGAATTTTTTACATTAATAATGTCTACTTTCAAATAATTAAGGGATTCTTCATCTGGCTTTAGTACCTACAGCTCACAGGGTTTATTCACTACCCTTCTATAGCTTTAGAAATGTTACTCCACTGGTCTCTGGCTGAACTTGTTGTAGGGCATGACACATCAGACTAAAAAACAAAAACAATCATATGCAGCATCATATATTTTATGTTGTTCATGGACCACAGACATCAGAATCATCCCAATTAGTGTAAAAATGAAGATTCCTTGGATTCATCCCAAAATAATAAATCATATTCTCTGAAAGTGGGACCAAGAAAACAATTTCAATAAAACCCATTGGTTTTGACCTCTAAACTACAATTTAGTGTGTTGTTGTTCTTAAAAATATTTATACTTTAAATCAGTTTTCTCTCAAATAATCTTGGTAACCAGTGATCCAAACAAAGAATAAACCTTCCGAAATTCTGGATGAGACTATAATTTTCTCTGAAATATATCTGAATCTTATGTGCCTGCCTACGGTAGAGCCTCTATAAATGCTTATTGAGCTGAACTGAACTGAATCAAGAAAGGAAGAATCAATTTATAAGCTACCTAGAATCTACTTCTGTGACTTTAAGCATTTTAACCATTTTCTTGTCATTTTACTTTCTTTTTAGTAATTGTCCATGAAAAGAAATAGATGGATTGAAGTCGCATTTCTATTTATAATATGCAAATAGCATTTAGATGATACATCACATAAATATTTGTAAACATGTTAGAGCAATTGTTACCTGGGAGGAAAGAGATTAACATGAGGCTGGCAGTATTAAGCTAGGAAAAAGACTTTCTTTTCAGTATACATCCTTCACTCAGTATGAATTCTGTTATGTGGATGTCATACTATTTTAATCTTGGACCAAATTGGCAAACTTACTTCATGATAACTGAAGAGGCAATGCTTGCAAGTATATTTTCATCTCTATGTTATTTTAGCCTATTATTTCTAGAATAAATCTTAAACCTAAATTGAAATTCAAGCTTTCTATAGCCATGTGACCTTGATTAATTCTCTAAATCATGCTCACCTTTAGTCTTCTCTTTTGTAATAGAAATTAAAAAAACCAGCTCAGAGAAGTTAAACAACTTTCATAAGCTATAAAATGAGTAAGGATCAAAGTACCTGCTTTTCATCCTTGGAATATCCCTGAGAGGGTAGAAAGGGGAAAATTATTATTTAAACTTCACAGGAAACAGAGTTAAATAGCAGAGCTGTGGCTTCACTTTATGGTTTTAACAGCTCTTTTTACTACTTCATGCTGCCTTCTTAATCTCCATTAGATGTCTCAGCACCTCCAAAACCATCAAATTTGCCAAACAAATATCATATTAATCAAATGACAATGTTATGCTTTTACCACAGCATGACAATTCTCTAAAAGGTGAACTGGGTCTAGGAGATGGAATAAATAAGCATAGTTGATAAATTTAGGGAATTTTTTTTTGAATTAATTACTAATTCACTAGCATACCAAAAATAGAGGTAATTTTTGTTTTACCCATATATTTTAAAAGTTGTAAGTATAAACACATTTAAGGAAAGCACAAATATCACAATTCTAAAAATCAAGTTGTCTTCAAATCTCCATATTACCACACTGCTAGTTGTCAAGGCTGCCACACACTGCTACTTTCAAAGCCTGTTATAAACAACAATAAAACAAATTCTAGAGTTAAATGCTATTTTTCTAGAATCCAATAGCACTACATCCTATCTTTGGGTGAAGGCTGCCTCTCTGTGGTAGAATGCAATGTGACGTCTTCCCTAAGAGACAATCTTCTCCCTCATATTTTTAACTAGAAATCATCTGTATAATATTCAAAAACATACAGATTTAAATACAGTGCCTTAACCATTTCTTTCAGGATTATACTTTTGCCTTCATGTTTAGAAAAATCTTTCAACTGCAAGGAACAGCCTCACTCATTTAGGCAAGCACGTATAGCAAGAGATGAAAACAGCATTTTTTGCTAGTAACAGAAATCAAGTAAAAACGAATTGCTCAAAAAGAACAGTCATGTTTGCTGTCTTTTTTGAAAGCTGAAGTCATTATTCACTTTACACGGAGTGACCTCTGCTGGTCAGAAAGACACATATTAATGGACATCATATCTACCAGAAAGCAGCTGTTATCTTAATTTCCCCAAGTAATTACTCAGATATATTGTGTGTCATAAGAGGAAGTTGGTTATTCACTTACAGTGCAACAATACAGGAGCATATCCTATTTCAAATACTGAAAGTCAAGAAGCAAATATCAAATGGATATCTTTTACAAACATTGAGTTAATTGTTATTTCTTCACTAATGTCCATTGTTAGTTGAAATAAAAGTAGACTCAAAAGGTCTTCTTATTATAAGACTTATTTTGAAAGGAAGTATACTCTATAATAAAAAAAATTAAGATTTTGGTATTTTTAACTATATGATGACCGAAAGCTTAGCATTTGTACACTATTAACTGAAATAAACAAAACATATTTATACAATAAACATATGACTTGTTACAGCTCAGAAGTAAAGAATTTATTTAGCTAAGTAATACAGTTACAAAAATTACATTTACCTTCTCTAAAACAGAACATGGTACACATCAGAAACTGTAAAACCTAATTAGGAGACAGTATCCAGAGACTCAGAGTAAACATTTAAACAACCAATATCAAAATACTCTTTTTAAAACATATATCACTGCAAAAACTGTGCAGATTGTTTTTCTTTATAATTTTAATAGAGGTCACAACCTTTGACATGAAATATATCAATAAAAACACCAAAGAATGTTGCCTACAAAAATTTTTTATTAAGAAAATTATTATATATCCTGATTGCTAATTATCACAATGTCCCCCTCCCCTCCTTTTTTTTTCTTTTTAACAATGTCCAGGAGGGGAAAAAAAAAAAAAGAAGCATATTTGGTCTTTGCTTCAGCAAATACTGAAATCTATTTATATGCAAATAAGCTATCCATGATTAGTATGAGAAAAGACTTGTGTATAAATGAGACATAAATTATCACTAGAAGCCATTAATGAAATCTATTTCAAAACATAACATTTTACAAGAGCCCTCACTCATGTAATATTTGCTTAAGCCTGGAGGGGAAATGGTGAGTTCTACACTTAGATGAAATCTGATACTACATTATTTCCCATGCCAATATGTTTTATAAAATGAATTTATCCTTTCCTTAAAAATGACTGGATAATTGTAACTCCAGTCTTTTTAGAGAACTTCATCATTAAAATCAGAGCCTTATGTGTTTGTCACATAATTGCCACACTTTTTGAGGGGTTTTATTTTGTGTCTGTTAGAATAATTGTCATTCTTTAGGGTTTAAAATGTTAACATTCATTTTGATATTCTACATATATTCATTTTTATATTCTGAATATAAAAATGAATAGATGAGTCTTAAGAGGGAACATGAGTCTTTCTGGAATAAGTTGAATTTCTATTGAAAATAATAAAATAAGCAATAATTAATAGACCTATAAAACACTTTTGTATACTTTTTTCATTTTCTTTTGGGATATCTTGTTTTGTTCTCCTTTACATCATAAATTTCTTTAGTCCATATTTGAGTCTCTGCCAATTTTTTTTTTTTTTTTTTGAGACGGAGCCTTGCTCTGTCGCCCCGGCTGGAGTGCAGTGGTGCGATCTCGGCTCACTGAAAGTTTAGTCTCCCGGGTTCACGCCATTCTCCTGCCTCAGCCTCCTGAGTAGCTGGGACTACAGGTGCCCACCACCACACCCGGCTAATTTTTTTTTTTTTTTTTTTTTGTATTTTTAGTGGAGACGGGGTTTCACCATGTTAGCCAGAATGGTCTCCATCTCCTGACCTCTTGATCCGCCAGCCTCGGCCTCCTAAAGTGCTGGGATTACAGGCGTGAGCCACCGCGCCCGGCCGAGTCCCTGCCAATTTTAAATATTGGAGATATTTCTTCTTTCTGTCATCTACTGAGCTTTTCCTAGGATGCCAAATGTTGAAGAGAAATCCTTCGTTTTAAAATAGTTAAGCTTAGATTTTTTTTTTATAGTCGTTACTTTTGGAGTTTTTAGTAAGAAGTATTTCCCCACTTTCTAGGTTGTAACAGTATTCTCTTAGACACTGAGGACTCCAAAAGGGGGGAGGGAGGGGTTAAGGGTAAAAATCTACTTATTGGATACTGTGTTCACTATTGGGATGACGGATTCAATGGAAGACCAAACCCCACCATTATGCAATATATTCATGCAGCAAACATGCAAGTGTACCCACTGAATCTGATTTCTTTTTAATTAAAAAATCAGTATTCACTGATATTTTCTTCAAATAACTTTGTAGTTTTACCTTTCCATTTAGGTCTTTAATCCATATAGATTCCATTTTTGTGCATGGTATTTTGTAAGGATCTAATCTTATTTTCTCTGGTAAATGTATTGGTCCATTTTCACACTGCTATAAAGAACTGCCTGAGACTGGGTAATTTATAAGCAGAAAAGGTTTAATTGACTCACATTTCCATGTGGCTAGGGAGGCCTCAGGAAATGTACAGGCATGGTGGAAGGTGAAAGGGAAGCAGGCACTTCTTCACGAGGCAGTAGGAGAGAGAGCATGAAGAGGGAAGTGCCACTTTTAAACCATCAGATCTTGTGATAACACTATCATGAGAATGGCATAAGGGAAACTGTTCCCATGATCCAATCACCTCCAACCAGGTCCCTCCCTCAACACGTGGTGATTACAATTTGAGATGAGATTTGGGTGGGGACACAGAGCCAAACCATATCAGTAAGTTTGTCAGTTTTCCCAGTATGTCAACTAAATAATTTTTGTTTACCTATTGAGTTGCAGTGACATCTTTACAATAAATTGTCTTCACATATACATTAATCTGTCTCTGAATTTTCTGTTTCCTTATCCATTTGTCTTGCTTTTGTGACAAAACCGCAAAGTTTTTATTAATATAGATTTGCAGTGTGTCTTAATAAATGGTATTGGAATTTCTCCCCTTCTCTATTCCTTTTTTTAAGCTCTTCATATACCTTTATTTTTACACACATTTATATGAGATCATTAATTTCTTCAAAATATCCAACTGGAATCTTAAGTGGGGTTACATTTATAGATTAAGAAAAGTAAAACTGATATCTTGACTATATAAAGTCATCACATTCAAGTGCCTAGAATAGCTCTTCATTTATTCAGACCACTATCTATGTCTATTATTAGTTTAAAAATTCTCTTTATGAAATTGTTTTTTCTTATTTAATCCTAGGAACGTTATTTTTACGGTGAGTTGTACATTATTTCATTACTCTTTTGAAAATGATCACTGCTGGTATTGAGAACTGTTACTGGCTGTGTAAGTCATTCTCTATCCAGCAAGTGTGGTGAATTTTCTTATCAGTTCTAGTAGTTTCTGGATATTTTTTAAATTTGCTATATGATGCTATAATCTGCAATTTAAAGTAGGTTTATATCTTTTCTTCCAATACTTCCTTCTTTTTGTGTTATTAGGTATTCTATCCTTAGGTATTGATGTGAACCACCTACTTTGTTAAGAAGGTGTGGTAATAGTAGGTATCCTTGTCTTCCTTTCTTTAAGAATAATATCTTAGTATTATAGCCTTTATCAAGTTAAGAAAGTTACTTGTATTCATAACTTTCTGAGATTTTTAAATCACAATAGGTATATTTAATTTAAAAATTGCTTATGCAGGTCTTTATTCAAGTACTTCTTGAAAGAGTACAGTACAGAAATATGAGAATACCCTAGAAAACACTGCTCCCAGAACTCTTCTTGACTCAAATCCTGTTGATTTATCTTTGCTTTTAGGTGACTAGGCAGTTTAGAATGCAATATATTTTTGCCTATCTCCCCCTACTATGCTTAATACTTGCTATTACGAGAAAAGAGCATGTGCAAATGAGGATGAGGTATGATAGTGGGAAGGCAGTCGGGTGTTCTACTTATTCATCCTAAAGTCCACTAATAAATTCATCTTAAATTCCAATAATACATACATCCCTTCCTCTGCTAACCTACACAGAGTTGCAAGTCAGAACTGTTGCTGAAAGGGAGACCAAGAAGAGAATAGTACCACTTTTTTTTTTAGTGCACCCAAAGAGCACCCAAACTAGATAAATATTTAGTCTTTGTTTCCTTAAGTATGATAAGAAATAGCCACATGAAAGACAAAGACCAAAATAAATAGAAAAACTGACCCTGAAGAAAAAAAAATAGTTTAGGAAAATATAGAAAATATATAACTTTCAAAATTGAATAGTATGATGAAATACATTCACAATAATATTGCATCTATAAAACAAACAGCATTCTGAGAACAATGTACTCCAGGAGCACATAACTGTTGGTATAGAAAATTATAAGAAAAATAGCTTACAAAAACCCTTACAGAATTTAGAGTAAAAAGGCAGAGAGAGAGAAAAAATATGAAAGATAAAAAGATATTTAAAAAAAAATTCTATTGGAACCAAAATCCATGTTTCCAGAAAGACAAAATTAAAATGCTGAAAACAAATTACAAAATACAGATTGCTTAAAAAAGATAGAATTCTTCAAATGTAAAAGGACACTATAAAACATAAACGACCTGAGTCCAGGCATTGAAAGATATTCAGCCGTAGATATATTACTGTGAAACTGTAGAACATTAAGAAGTTTTTAAAATTCTAAATGTTTCCAAAAAAAGGAAGGTCTTAAGTCCCCCACAAAGGAAAAAAAAATCAAAATGCCTTCTGATCGTATTGGCATCAGCAAAACCAGATTCTAGAAGACAATGAAGCAAAAGAAAAAAAAGTAAGATCAAAAGGAAGATATCTTGAAATATAAAGTCCTGCCACCACCTCTATAAAATGAAAGCCCAGGTTTAATACAAATCAGGCCTAGAGAAAAATCAATCCAAACAAAAACAGATCAATGGGCTCCAGAAAAGAGGTCTCCAGAGGGGTTGAAACTTTGGATAAAATGAGAATCAACTCAAGAAAAAAGTAGACAATTTGTATGATATTGTACTCATATGAGGTGGCTAAAGTAGTCAAATTCATAGAGACAGAAAATAGAATGGTAGTGGTCAGGGGCTAGAGAGGAAGTTATTGTTTAATGACAAGAGTTTCAAGTTTTGCAAAATGAAAAGAGTTCTGTGGATAGATGGTGGTGATGAAGCACACAATGTGAATGTACTTAATGCCACTGTGTACACTTTAAAATGATTAAGATGGTAAATTTTCTCTTACGTGTATTTTGCTACAGTTTTTAAAAAGATAAAATTCCAGATAACTGTGTAAGAAAGTAATGATCTAGATCTGAAACTAAATTAAAAAGTGACAAAATTTAAGCAACTAATGACATGCAGAAGTGGAAATCCAAGTGATTCTTATGCCAAAATATTCTACTTTGAGAATATTAAAGATTATGGCTTTGGTGCCACAGAAAGAAAATTAATCCTTGCATTCTACTTCACTCATCACTGAGTAATTTTTAAATTTTGTTTCTGGGACTTTGAATTAATAAGGAAAAGTTTATTGCTTTTCTCTAAGCTCTTCTATACAAGTTGGTTTGGTACTATGTGCATATATCATACACACACACATAATACAAACATACACACACACACACACATAATACAAACATACACACACACACACACACACAGAGAATATACCTATGTTGGCAAGAGGCCTCCTCCAACTGATTCTTTTCATTCCATCTGCTGTGATGTTTCATTGAAAATGAAATTATTGTTAAGCATTATTCTATCTCTATAGCTTCTGTTTCTAAAACTATATGTTCTGTAGAGATAGAAACAAGGTTTTGAAAAGAAGGGAATTATACTTCATTCTGAAATATCTGAGTCTTTAAGTGTATTCTGAAATTCACAAAGTCATCAGAAGGAATAGGTGAAAATTAGACACATAATTACTTATAGTTTGGCTTCTACAGTAAAATGTCATTGAAAATGTAGAATTATGTAAATAAGTATATTAGGCATATAATGTGTATATGTAAATGTATTTATAAATTAATAATGTGTCTATCTCATGATTCCATATTAGTTTTATATTTATCTTTCTAATATTTATTTTCCTTAATAAAACCATCTAGAAATTAAAATAAATCACCTTTTTTATGAGTATGATTATCCATACCTAATTTTCCATCATGGGTCTTGTTGTATGTCAGTGAAAAGTTGATATGTTTACTATATGAATAGGATAAAACAGGTAAAGATGACAACGTTTATTTTATCAGCCATACACAAAAAACAGAAACTAGCTTTTCTAAGCACTGAAGCAATATACCCCCAGGTTTTTTATGCAGAATGCAAGTTTTCATAGAATGTTAGCTGATATAACACACTATAAAGCATTCTGTGGTCAAATTTGGGGAAGGTTAGATTAAACAAGGTTCAAACAGGTTTATTACAGGTCATATCAGAGCCTGTGATATGCTAATTCACACATAAAGAAAAAATACAGCTTGTGCATTTCCAACACGTATGATCATGGATTCCTTTTTTTTTTTCACAATTTTCTTACAAAACTAGTGTTTGTGTAAATTAATTTAAAAATTTTTGATTTCCAGGATAGCCACATTAGTGTTTTCAACATACTAAGTCTAAAATTATAATTTAAATTTTAGCTATGATTCCAGTTAAGAAGCACAAATGAAAGCAGAGATAGAATCATTATACTTTTTTCT
This sequence comes from Homo sapiens, assembly GCF_000001405.40. Classification (NCBI taxonomy): domain Eukaryota; kingdom Metazoa; phylum Chordata; class Mammalia; order Primates; family Hominidae; genus Homo; species Homo sapiens. The sequence goes on from NC_000004.12 coordinate 97,727,911, forward strand.
ACTGTTATTAAAAAATTTCCAAGTAAATTATAGTTAAATAGTTCACATCAAAAAGCCATTTATATCATCTTTGGTTTTGGATATTATGGAACTGTGCTCTCCTAGTTTGCATAATCTGTCATCTTTAGCAAATGCATATTATCTAATCAGACAATAGCTTCATCAGTTCAGCATGTAATAACTTCAGATGGCCATAAAGTATGAACCAAAGAATTCTGTTAATAGGGAATGGTATTGTCTATACTTGGCCACAGCTGCAAGAAACTTATTCATTTATGTTATCTTCAACCTCTTTCTCCTCTAATCAAAAAAAAAATCTCAGCAGCATAGTGGCTGAGGTAAGTCTGAAACATGTATGATAGAATTACACAATAAAAGCAAATATTGATAACCAAAGAAATGAGATAATTTTGATGTCAAGGAGTTCATTTATTTCTAAGTATTAGTAAAAAGACCTTCCATTTTACTGATGACAGTATTTACCTTTACTAGTATTTTTAAAATTTCCTATGAAGCAAAAAATATGACGTAACTCGGTAGAAATTATTTCCTTTAGATTGAAGAAATCTATATGCAGAATTATTTTCAAGTTGTTGTTTTCTTGACAATGTATTTACTTCCTCTCTTGTATGACCAGAGTAATTTATTTCTGATCATCACAAACAGAAGAAAATTTAGGATCCAACCTTGGTGAAAGCCTTATTTGGCCCAGAAAGAGAGTCACTTTCAAATCTGAGCATACCTGTTGAAGTGTCTGACCCAGAGCTGAGGAAAAAAAAAAATTCATAAGGAGAATGCTCAGCTGGAGTCATACAACCTACCTAACCTGATCAAACCACTCAGAAGATCCTATAGAAATACTACATCCACATCAGGCTACAGAAAATATTATTTAAAGTACAAACAAGCAAAGAAAAACTAACTTATCCCTACAAATATCTCCAGAAATCTTTTTATCAAAGAAATCTGTGTGTTTGTGTGTATGTGCATGCATGTGTGTGTGTGAGAGAAAGAGAGAGAGAGAAAGAAAGATACAGAGAGACAAAGAAAGAGAGACAGAGAAAGAAGCAGAGTGGGAGAAAGAAAGAGACAGAGACAAAGACAGAGGAAAAAAATGGCTTTTCATTCCACTGATGACAAGGCCCCAAGAATTTCTCTCTCTCTCTCTCTCTCTCTCTCTCTCTCTCAGGGCTCACTGAGGAAACAGAAAAGAGTCATAACTCTAGATCTTAAAATCCTCATCCAATTTCTAAGACTCAGGCCCTCATCTAATTTCTGTTGAAAAAAAAAAGCATCTATTATCAACTTTTGGAGGAGCTTTGAGTGACACTGGTAGACTTTAGGGAAGAATATATGACTTTTGCTATCTTTCAGATTTGGAGAATAGAATGTACTTGGTTGGTGGAAAAGTAATCATGTTTTTTGCCATTCTTTAATTCCCATGAATAAAAGCAATAGCAAAAACCACAATTACTTTTGCATCAATCTAATAACTCATGTCACAGTTTCTTTTATTTTGGTGAAGCCACCTATATGAGTGATTTAGTCAGAACTTTGGAATCAGATTAATTTTGTCAACGGTTATCAAAATAGAAATATATTAGAAACTGAATTTGGCATGTCTCTTTGATAATGCTGTCTCTGCAGACTCTGAATTTTGAGGGAGGAGTTCTTTCCCCTATTACACAATCAGGAATTTGAAACTGTACAAGGTGAGTAAAGGGGATTGGAACTAGCCCACAGATAAAAGATTCAAAGCCAGGCTGCATCCAACATCATAAACCCTCCTAACAAGAGTAACAAGGAATTAAGGTAAAAGACCATAGGAAAAATACTAAAGGACCCAGACAAGAGCAATACAATTTGTCACAAGTGTTTAGAAGCATAGACTTTATAAAGCCAATTTATTTTAAAGTGCCTTTTTTTCCTGCTATTGTAAATGGGATTTTTTTGCTTGATTTCTTTTTCAGATAGTTTGCTGTTATTGCCTAGAAAAACTACTGATTTTTGTATGTATATTTTGTATCTTGCAGCTATACTGAATTCATTTATTAGTTCTCAGAGTTCCTTGGTGAAGTCTTTAGGGCTTTTCTTTTTCAACTTTTATTTTAGATACAGGGGTACATATGCGGATGTTACATGGATATGTTGTGTGATGCTGAGGTTTGGAGTGTGACTGAACCCATAACTCAGGCAGAGTGCATAGTAAGCAGTAGGCAGTTTTTTTAACTCTTGCCTCCCTCCCTCACTGCCTCGTCTTGTATTCCCCAGTGTCTACTGACCCATCTTTATGTCCACCTGTACCCAGTGTTTAAATCCCACATACAAGTGAGAACATGAGGAATTTGGTTTTCTGTTTCTGCATTACTTAGATTAGGACAATGGCCTTCAGTTGCATCCATGTTGCTGCAAAGGACATGATTTCATTCTTTTTATGGCTGTGTAGTATGCCATGGTATATATGTACGACATTTTCTTTATCCAATACACCACTGATGGATGCCTAGATTGATTCCATGTTTTTGCTGTTGTGAATAGCACTGTGATGAACATATGGATGCATGTGTTTTTTTGGTGGAATGATTTGTTTTCCTTTGAGTAAATACCCAGTAATGGGATTGCTGGGTTAAATGGTAGTTCAACTCTTAGTTCCTTGAGGAATCTCCAAACTGCTCTCCACAGTGGCCATATATCCTTACATATGTTTTCCAAATTGCTTACCCTGTCTCCTCTCTCAGAAATGCCAATGAGTCATTGGTTTGGTCTCTTTACAAAATCACATAGTTCTGAAAGGTTTTGTTCATTTTTTTTAAATCTTTTTTTCTGACTGGATTGATTCAAAGAATCAGTCTTCAAACTCTGAGATTCTTTCCTCAGCTTGTTCTAATCTGTTATTAATACTTCCAACTTCATTATGAAATCCCTGTAGTGAATTTTTCAACTCCAGAAGTTCAGTTTGCTTCTTTCTTAAAATGGCTGTGTTATCTTTCAACTCTTGGATCATTTTATTAGCTTCCTTGGATTGAATTTCAACTTTTTCCTGAATCTTGAGCTTTTGTGCCATCCAGATTTGAATTCCGTATTTGTCATTTCAGCCACTTCAATATGGTTAGGAACCATTGCTGGGAGCCAGTGTGATTATTTGGAGGCAAGGAGGCACTCTGACTTTATCAGTTGCCACAGTTCTTTCACTGATTCTTTCTCATCTGAGAGGGCTAGTGTTCCTCTATCATTTTCAAGTTGCTGTCATTGAGATGGAGCTTTTTGTTTTTATATTCTTTAATTCCCTTGAGGGTTTGACTGTGGTGTACGCTGAGTATAGTCAATTGGCTTTGTTTCTGGGTGCTTCAGAGGGCCAAACCTCTCTATAGGATCTTCATTTGTGGCTAGATTCCTGCATTGGGTTTCACAGGTGATGTGTCCTCAAAGAATTTTTGTTCGGTGGCGTCATTTAGGCTACCTCCAGTATATTACACTTAAGAGTAAGGGCCAACAGACAGATTTTTAGCCACGTGCCTCTTCTGTATTTCAGTGCGTTTGCAGCATGCTCCTGGGTGAGGGTTGGGAAGCCTAGAGAGGAAGGTTGGGAAGCCTAGAGATGAAGCCTAGGAAGCTCATGCTTCCCCAACCAGGTCTCCTTCCGGTGTCTGCCCCAGAAGCTGGCCTGAACATCTAGTTTTGTCCCAAGCCTTCTGTGCCCAGATGCCTGGGCTGTTAGGTGTTCTGCTGGGTTCCCTCAGGCAGAGGCTGCAGTTGGCAAAGAGGGTTCACCTTTCATAGACTGCTCTTGAGAAGAGGGGCACGTCCAGCTCCCACACCAGTCCATGAAACCTGGGACTCACTCTTCTCAGTGTTCTGAGGATGGGGGCTCCTTCCCCACTTAAGCTGCATCTACAGATCTCAGCTAGATACTCCTGATCTGTGTGCACGAACCTGGGGGTTTGGGACCAGACCTGCAGCTTTGTCCTTTGGCCCCTTTGTCCTCTGGTCCCTTTGTCCTTTGGCCCCCATGGGGCCAAAATGCTCCCATGCCTCAGCATAGCACTAAGGCAGGGCAGTGGAGGTTGTGCATGCTCTTATAGGGGCAGCCAGGCAGGGTCCTTGGGAGGGGCCCACAGACAGGTAAGCATGAAGATTAGATGGGCCCCAGTCCCATAGGAAAGACAGCCCTGCTCTCTCTCAGCCCTGCAGTTAGTAGGGGCCAGAGCTGCTCAGAGCAAGATGGAGAGCCTCAAGGGACAGGCACCTATGGTCGCATTTTGCCGCAGCTGCCCCATTCACAAAATCTTCTGGGCTTGGCACAGGCTGGAGCTCTCCCTCCATCTCCTCTCTGGGAAGCTCCCACTGCCCATTCAAATTTCTATGGGTTTTTTCCAGTGTTGTCTTCCAGAATGCTTATAGTTTCAGGTCTTATATTTAAGTCATTGATCCATCTTCAATTGATATTTTTATAAGGTGAGAGATAGCGATCCAGTTTCATTCGTCTTCATATGGCTTGCCAGTTTTCCCAGCACACCATTTATTAAATAGGGTGTCCATTCCCCAATTTATGTTTTTGTATGCTTTATCAAAGATCAGTTGGCTATATATATTTGGCTTACATAAAGAATTCAAGGATAAGACCCCAAAAACAAATGCAACAAAAAGAAAAATAAATAAGCAGGACCTCGTTAAAAGCTTCTGCACAGAAAAAAGAAATAATTAGCAGAGTAAACAGACAACCCACAAGAAAATATTTGGAAACTATGGATGGGAGAAAATATTTGCAAGCTACGCATCTGACAAAGCACTGATATCCAGAATCTAAAAAGAATTCAAACAAATCAGCAAGAAAAAAAAAATAATCACATTAAAAAGTGAGTGAAGGACATGAATAGACATTTCACCAAAGAAGATATAAAAATGGCCAACAAACATGAAAAAATGCTAAAACCACTAATCATCAGGGAAATGCAATTTACAACCACAATGAGATACTACTTTACTCCTGTAAGAATGGTCATTATTAAAAAGTAACAAAAACCATAGATGTTGACCTGGAAGTGAGGAAAAGGGAATGCTTATACACTGCTTCTTGGGAATGTAAATTAGTACAACCTCTAAGGAAAACAGTATCGAGATTCCTTAAAGAGTTAAGAGTAGATCTACCATTCAATCCAGCAATCCCACTACTGGGTATCTATCCAAAGGAAAAAAATAATAATTATATTAAAAGACACTTGCACATGTATATTTATAGCCACATAATTCACAGTTGCAAAGATGTGGAACCAATGTTAAATGCGCATCAACTAATGAGCAGCTAAAGAAAACGTGGTGTATATACACCACGGAAAACTATTCAGCCACTAAAAGGAATGAAATAATGTCTTTTGCAGAAACTTGGATGGAGCTGGAGGCAATTACTCTAAGTGAAATAACACAGGAGTGGAAAATCAAAAATCATATATTCTCACTTACAAGTAGGAGCTAAGCTACGAGTATGCAAAGTCATACAGAGTGATATAATGCACTTTAGAATGTAGAAGGGGGAGGGTGGGAGAGGAATAGGGATCAAAAACTACACATTAGGTACAATGTACATTACTCAGGTGACAGATAAAATCGCAAATTCACTACTATATAATTCATTCGTGTAACAAAAAAAAAACACTTGTACCCCAAAAGCTATTAAAACAAAAATTAATTTAACAAAATGTCTATGGAGGTCATGGAAGCTCTTGTAGCTAGGATCCCAGAGGCCCATGGTGAGAGTGTGTTGTCCTGCAGTTCCTTCACTCACCCCTTCCCTAGAACTTATTCAGGGCCAGGTGCTGGTCCGGTTGCTCAGCAACTCCATGCAGGGTTCCCAGCTCCCTCCCTCCTCTACCTCAGGGTCAGCATCACTTCTCTATCCACTTTCAATGTTTGCTCTCAAAGGATCTGTTTGAAGTGTGACGGTTTACTCGATATTTTGGTTTCTCTCAGTGGGAGAGGCAGTTCCTGGCTATGTCTAGTTGATCATCTTCTAGTTTTCTATAAACAAAATCATGCCATCTGAAAGCAGATATTTTCCCTTCTTCCTTTCTGATTTGGGTGTATTTTATTTATTTTTCTTGCCTAATTGCTCTGGGCAAAATTTCCAGCACTATACTGATTAAAAGTGCCAAAAGTGGGCATCCTTGTCTTGTTCCTGATCTTAAATAAAAAGCTTTCAGCATTTCACCATTGAGTATAATGTTACCTGTGTACTTGAGTTATATGGCCTTTACTGTATTAAGGAATATTCCTCCTATTCCTAATTTGTTGAGAATTTTTAATTATAAAAGGATATTGAATTTTCTCATAGGCTTTATTTTTTATCACTTAGCTAATTATTTTTTAACTTTTATTTCAAATTCAGGAGTACAGTTGCAGGTTTGTTACATAGGTAAACTTGTGTTATGAGTGCTTGTTACACACACTATTTTGTCACTCAGGTATTAAGCCAGGTACCCATTAGTAATTTTCCTGATTCTCTCCCTCCTCCCAACCTCCACTCTCCAATGGGCCCCAGAGTGTGGTGTTCCCCTCTATGTGTCCATGTGTTCTCATCATTTAGCTCCCACTTATTAAGTGAGAACATACTTTTTCTATTGAGATGACCATATGATTCTGTTGAGATGATCATATATTTCTTATACTTTATTCTGTTAATATGGTATATCACATTGATAAGTTTGTGTTTATTGAACCATCCATGCCTCCCAAGGATAAATCTAAAAGGATCAAATGTGGTGCAGGAAAAAAAAGTTAAGAAAATGGCCTTGGCAATGATTTTTTTGGCTAGTACACCAAAAGAAGAGGCAGTAAAAGCAAACATAAACAAGTAGGACAACATCAAACTAAAAAGTTTCTGCACGGCCGGGGGCGGTGGCTCATGCCTGTAATCCTAGCACTTTGGGGGGCCGAGGCAGGTGGATCACAAGGTCAGCAGATCGAGACCATCCTGGCTAACATGGTGAAACCCCATCTCTACTAAAAATACAAAAAAATTAGCTGGGCATGGTGGCAGGCGCCTGTAGTCCCAGTTACTCAGGAGGCTGAGGCAGGAGAATGGCATGAACCCAGGAGGCGGAGCTGGCAGTGAGTTGAGATGGCGTCACTGCACTACAGCCTGGGCAAGAGAGCGAGACATCGTCTCAAAAAAAAAAAAAGTTTCTGCACAACAAAGGAAACAATCAATAAAAAGAAAATGCAGAATATGGAGTGGGTGAAAATATTTGTGAACTACATATTTATATATAGTTCATATATATACTTCTATATACATATATGCAGGGTTATATATATAGATATATAGATGTGTATACAGATATAATAGGTGTGTATCTATATATATATACATACACAAAGTGAAATAACACATAAGTGGAAAACCAAAAACCATATGTTCTCACTTATAAGTGGGAGCTAAGCTATGAGTATGCAAAGTCAAATAGAGTGATACAATGTACTTTAGAGACTCAGAAGGGAGAGGTTGGGAGGGAAATAGGATCAAAAACTACACATTAGGTACAATGTACACTATTCAGGTGACAGATGCAGTAAAATCTCAGAATTCAGTGCTATATAATTCATCCCTGTAACGAAAAGGGAGAATATGGATTGGGTGAAAATATTTATACATATACATATTTACATTTATATATATGTATATATTTATATATTTATATTTATACATTTATATTCATATATATATACACACACATATCTACAGATGTGTATATTCTTATAATATATAAGGATACATGTATATCCTTACAATATATAAGGATATGTGTATATCATTACAATATATAGGGATACGTGTATATCCTTATATATATGTGTGTCTGTGTGTGTATGTATGTTAACCTTATATATAGACACAGGGTTAATGTCCTAAATATATAAGGAACACATACAACTCAATAGCAAAAACACAAATAACTCGATTTAAAAATGGGCAAAGGACCTAAGTAGATATTTCTCAAAAGAAGACATGCAAATGGCCAATGGATATATAAGAAATGCTCAACATCACAAATCATCAGGGAAATGTAAATCAAAACCACAATGAAATATCACTTCACACTTGTTAGGATGGCAAATACCAAAAAGATAAAAGGTATGTGTTAGTGAGGGTGTGCAGAAAGGAGAACCCTTATACACTGTTGGTGGAAATGTAGATTGGTACAGCCCTTATGAAAAGTAAAATGTCAATTCCTCAGAAATTAAAAATAGAACTATCATATGACCCAGCAATTCCTATTCTGAATATATACCCAAAGAAAATAAATTCAGAAAGGTGATAGCAGCCAAGATGGCCGAATAGGAACAGCTCCAGTCTACAGCTACCAGTGTGAGCGACGCAGAAGATGGGTGATTTCTGCATTTCCATCTGAGGTACCAGGTTCATCTCACTAGGGAGTGCCAGACAGTGGGCGCAGGACAGTGGGTGCAGCACACCGTGCGCGAGTCGAAGCAGGGCGAGGCATTGCCTCACTCAGGAAGCACAAGGGGTCAGGGAGTTCCCTTTCCTAGTCAAAGAAAGGGGTGACAGATGGCACCTGGAAAATTGGGTCACTCCCACCCCATTACTGCGCTTTTCCAACGGGCTTAAAAAACGGCACACCAGGAGATTATATCCCGCACCTGGCTCAGAGGGTCCTATGCCCACGGAGTCTCACTGATTGCTAGCACAGCAGCCTGAGATCAAACTGCAAGGTGGCAGCCAGGCTAGGGGAGGGGCACCTGTCATTGCCCAGGCTTGCTTAGGTAAACAAAGGAGCCGGGAAGCTCGAACTGGGTGGAGCCCACCACAGCTCAAGGAGGCCTGCCTGCCTCTGTAGGCTCCACTTCTGGGGCAGGGCACAAACAAACAAAAAGACAGCAGTAACCTCTGCAGACTTAAATGTCCCTGTCTGACAGCTTTGAAGAGAGCAGTGGTTCTCCCAGCACGCAGATGGAGATCTGAGAATGGGCAGACTGCCTTGTCAAGTGGGTCCCTGACCCCTGACCCCCCAGCAGCCTAACAGGGAGGCACCCCCCAGTAGGGGCAGACTGACACCTCACACGGCCGGGTACTCCTCTGAGACAAAACTTCCAGAGGAACGACCAGACAGCAGCATTCGCGGTTCACAAAAATACGCTGTTCTGCAGCCACCGCTGCTGGAACCCAGGCAACCAGGGTCTGGAGTGGACCTCTAGCAAACTCCAACACACCTGCAGCGGAGGGTCCTGTCTGTTAGAAGGAAAACTAATGAACAGAAAGGACATCCACACCAAAACCCCATCTGTATGTCACCATCATCAAAGACCAAAGGTAGATAAAACCACAAAGATGTGGAAAAAACAGAGCAGAAAAACTGGAAATTCTAAAAAGCAGAGTGCCTATCCTCCTCCAAAGGAACACAGTTCCTCACCAGCAACGGAACAAAGCTGGACGGAGAATGACTTTGACGAGTTGAGAGAAGAAGGCTTCAGCCGATAAAACTACTCCGAGCTACAGGAGGAAATTCAAATCAAAGGCAAAGAAGTTAAAAACTTTGAAAAAAATTTAGACGAATGTATAACTAGAATAACCAATACAGAGAAATGCTTAAAGGAGCTGATGGAGCTGAAAGCCAAGGCTCGAGAACTACGTGAAGAATGCAGAAGCCTCAGGAGCTGATGTGATCAACTGGAAGAAAGGGTATCAGTGATGGAAGATGAAATGAATGAAATGAAGCGAGAAGGGAAGCTTAGAGAAAAAAAAATAAAAAGAAACAAACAAAGCATTCAAGAAATATGGGACTATGTGAAAAGACCATATCTACGTCTCATCGGTGTACCTGAAAGTGACGGGGAGAATGGAACCAAGCTGGAAAACACTCTTCAGGATATTATCCAGGAGAACTTCCCCAATCTAGCAAGGCAGGCCAACATTCAGATTCAGGAAATACAGAGAATGCCACAAAGATACTCCTTGCAAAGAGCAACTCCAAGACACAAAATTGCCAGATTCACCAAAGTTGAAATGAAGGAAAAAATGTTAAGGGCAGCCAGAGAGAAAGGTCGGGTTACCCACAAAGGGAAGCCCATCAGGCTAACAGCGGATCTCTTGGCAGAAACTCTACAAGCCAGAAGAGAGCGAAGGCCAATATTCAACATTCTTAAAGAAAAGAATGTTCAACCCAGAATTTCATATCCAGCCAAACTAAACTTCATAAGTGAAGGAGAAACAAAATACTTTACAGACAAGGAAATGCTGAGAGATTTTGTTACCACCAGGCCTGCCCGAAAAGAGCTCCTGAAGGAAGCACTAAACGTGGAAAGGAACAATGGGTACCAGCCACTGCAAAATCATGCCAAATTGTAAAGACCATCGAGGCTAGGAAGAAACTGCATCAACTAACGAGCAAAATAACCAGCTAACATTAAAATGACAGGATCAAATTCACACATAACAATATTAACTTTAAACGTAAATGGACTAAATGCTCCCATTAAAAGACACAGACTGGCAAATTGGATAAAGAGTCAAGACCAATCAGAGTGCTGTATTCAGGAAACCCATCTCACGTGCAGAGACACACATAGGCTCAAAATAAAAGGATGGAGAAAGATCTACCAAGCAAATGGAAAACAAAAAAAGGCAGGGGTTCCAATCCTAGTCTCTGATAAAACAGACTTCAAACCAACAAAGATCAAAAGAGACAAACAAGGCCATTACACAATGGTAAAGGGATCAATTCAACAAGAAGAGCTAACTATCCTAAATATATATGCACCCAATACAGGAGCACCCAGATTCATAAAGCAAGTCCTGAGTGACCTACAAAGAGACTTAGACTCCCACACAATAATAATGGGAGACTTTAACACCCCACTGTCAACATTAGACAGATCAACAAGACAGAAAGTCAACAAGGATACCCAGGAATTGAACTCAGCTCTGCACCAAGTGGACCTAATAGACATCTACAGAACTCTCCACCCCAAATCAACAGAATATACATTTTTTTTCAGCACCGCACCACACCTATTCCAAAATTGACCAAATAGTTGGAAGTAAAGCTCTCCTCAGCAAATGTAAAAGAACAGAAATTATAGCAAACTATCTCTCAGACCACAGTGCAATCAAACTAGAACTCAGGATTAAGAAACTCACTCAAAACCGCTCAACTACATGGAAACTGAACAACCTGCTCCTGAATGACTACTGGGTACATAATGAAATGAAGGCAGAAATCAAGATGTTCTTTGAAACCAACGAGAACAAAGACACAACATACCAGAATCTCTGGGACACATTCAAAGCAGTGTGTAGAGAGAAATTTATAGTACTAAATGCCTACAGGAGAAAGCAGGAAAGATCCAAAATTGACACCCTAACATCACAATTAAAAGAACTAGAAAAGCAAGAGCAAACACATTCAAAAGCTAGCAGAAGGCAAGAAATAACTAAAATCAGAGCAGAACTGAAGGAAATAGAGACGCAAAAAACCCTTCAAAAAATTAATGAATCCAGGAGCTGGTTTTTTGAAAGGATCAACAAAATTGATAGATTGCTAGCAAGACTAATAAAGAAGAAAAGAGAGAAGAATCAAATAGACGCAATAAAAAACGATAAAGGGGATATCACCACTGGTCCCACAGAAATACAAACTACCATCAGAGAATACTACAAACACCTCTACGCAAATAAACTAGAAAATCTTGAAGAAATGGATAAATTCCTCGACACATACACCCTCCCTAGAGTAAACCAGGAAGAAGTTGAATCTCTGAATAGACCAATAACAGGCTCTGAAATTGTGGCAATAATCAGTAGTTTACCAACCAAAAAGAGTCCAGGACCAGATGGATTCACAGCCAAATTCTACCAGAGGTACAGGGAGGAATTGGTATCATTCCTTCTGAAACTATTCCAATCAATAAAAAAGAGGGAATCCTCCCTAACTCATTTTATGATGCCAGCATCATCCTGATACCAAAGCCGGGCAGAGACACAACAAAAAAAGAGAATTTTAGACCAATATCCTTGATGAACATTGATGCAAAAATCCTCAATAAAATACTGGCAAACCGAATCCAGCAGCACATCAAAAAGCTTATCCACCATGATCAAGTGGGCTTCATCCCTGGGATGCAAGGCTGGTTCAATATACACAAATCAATAAATGTAATCCAGCATATAAACAGAACCAAAGAAAAAAACCACAGGATTATCTCAATAGATGCAGAAAAGGCCTTTCACAAAATTCAACAACGCTTCATGCTAAAAACTCTCAATAAATTAGGTATTGATGGGACGTATCTCAAAATAATAACAGCTATCTATGACACACCCACAGCCAATATCACACTGAATGGGCAAAAACTGGAAGCATTCCCTTTGAAAACTGGCACAAGACAGGGATGCCCCCTCTCACCACTCCTATTCAACATAGTGTTGGAAGTTCTGGCCAGGGAATTAGGCAGGAGAAGAAATAAAGGGTATTCAATTAGGAAAAGAGGAAGTCAAATTGTCCCTGTTTGCAGATGACATGATTGTATATCTAGAAAACCCCATTGTCTCAGCCCAAAATCTCCTTAAGCTGATAAGCAACTTCAGCAAAGTCTCAGGATACAAAATCAATGTACAAAAATCACAAGCATTCTTATACACCAATAACAGACAAACAGAGAGCCAAATCATGAATGAACTCCCATTCACAATTTCTTCAAAGAGAATAAAATACCTAGGAATCCAACTTACAAGGGATGTGAAGGACCTCTTCAAGGAGAACTACAAACCACTGCTCAAGGAAATAAAAGAGGATACAAACAAATGGAAGAACATTCAATGCTCATGAGTAGGAAGAATCAATATCGTGAAAATGGCAATACTGCCCAAGGTAATTTATACATTCAATGCCATCCCCATCAAGCTACCAATGACTTTCTTCACAGAATTGGAAAAAAACTACTTTAAAGTTCATATGGAACCAAAAAAGAGCCCGCATCGCCAAGTCAATCTTAAGGCAAAAGAACAAAGCTGGAGGCATCATGCTACCTGACTTCAAACTATACTACAAGACTACAGTAACCAAAACAGCATGGTACTGGTACCAAACAGAGATATAGATCAATGGAACAGAACAGAGCCCTCAGAAAAAACACCGCATATCTACAACTATCTGATCTTTGACAAACCTGAGAAAAATATGCAATAGGGAAAGGATTCCCTATTTAATAAATGCTGCTGGAAAAACTGGCTAGCCATATGTAGAAAGCTGAAACTGGATCCCTTCCTTACACCTTATACAAAAATTAATTCAAGATGGACTAAAGACTTAAACATTAGACCTAAAACCATAAAAACCCTAGAAGAAAACCTAGGCATTATCACTCAGGATATAGGCATGGGCAAGTACTTCATGTCTAAAACACCAAAAGCAATGGCAACAAAAGCCAGAATTGACAAATGGGATCTCATTAAACTAAAGAGCTTCTGCACAGCAAAAGAAACTACCATCAGAGTGAACAGGCAACCTACAAAATGGGAGAAAATTTTTGCAACCTACTCATCTGACAAAGGGCTAATATCCAGAATCTACAATGAACTCAAACAAATTTACAAGAAAAAAACAAACAACCCCATCAAAAAGTGGGCAAAGGACATGAACAGACACTTCTCAAAGGTAGACATGTATGCAGCCAAGAAACACATGAAAAATTGCTCACCATCACTGGCCATCAGAGAAATGCAAATCAAAACCGCAATGTGATACCATCTCACACCAGTTAGAATGGCAATCATTAAAAAGTCAGGAAACAACAGGTGCTGGAGAGGATGTGGAGAAATAGGAACACTTTTACACTGTTGGTGGGACTGTAAACTAGTTCAACCATTGTGGAAGTCAGTGTGGCGATTCCTCAGGGATCTAGAACTAGAAATACCATTTGACCAAGCCATCCCATTACTGGGTATATACCCAAAGGACTATAAATCATGCTGCTATAAAGACACATGCACACGTATGTTTATTGTGGCACTATTCACAATAGCAAGGACTTGGAACCAACCCAAATGTCCAACAATGATAGACTGGATTAAGAAAATGTGGCACATATACACCATGGAATACAATGCAGCCATACAAAATGATGAGTTCATGTCCTTTGTAGGGACATGGATGAAATTGGAAATCATCATTCTCAGTAAACTATCGCAAGAAAAAAAAACCAAACACCGCATATTCTCACTCATAGGTGGGAATTGAACAATGAGAACACATGGACACAGGAAGGAGAACATCACACTCTGGGGACTGTTGTGGGGTTGGGGGAGGAAGGAGGGATAGCATTAGGAGATATACCTAATGCTAAATGACGAGTTAATGGGTGCAGCACACCAGCATGGCACATGTATACATATGTAAGTAACCTGCATATTGTGCACATGTACCCTAAAACTTAAAGTATAATAATAATAAAATAAAATAAAATAATAATAATAAAAAGAAAATAAAATCAGTACTTCTTAAAGAGATAGCTGCACTGCCATGTTCATTTTGGCATTGTTCACAATAACCAAGATATGGGAACAACCTAATTGTCCATCAATGGATGAATGAATAAACTGTGTGTGTGTGTGTGTGTGTGTGTGTGTGTGTGTGTGTGTGTGTGTCTATATATATATGGAATACTATCAGGTCTTTAAAAAGATCTTACCTTTTGCAACAACATGGATGAAACTGAAGGACATTATTCCAAATAATGTTATCTGGTCACAGAAAAGCAAATACTGCATGATTTTGCTTACGTGTGGAATATTTAAAAAAAAACAAAAACAGAGTAAAACAGTTGGTAACCTGAGATATGGGTACAGATGGAGACATGTAGGCAAAAAGGTACAAAGTTTCAGTGATATAGGATGAAGACTTCTAGAGATCTCAAGTACAGCATGAGGATGATAGTTAATAATATTGCATTGTATACTAGAAATTTGCTGAGGGTAGATTTTAGTGGTTCTTATAACACACAAAAATAATATGTAAAATGAGGGAGATGTTAATTGGCTTCACTGTAATAATCATTTCACTATGTATATGCATATAAAACATCATGTTGTATACCTTAAATATATATAATAGAAATATATTAAAAGTAAAAAAGCTATTATGTCATAAAAACATAAAGTGCCTTTTGTTTCAGGTATACAGTGAGACAGTAAGAAAAGCAATTCTAGTTTTCTTTTATTTTGTTTCCTCTTAAGGTATACATCACAGAGTGTCAAGAGCGAAGATCTGGAAGATTTTGGTTGTACTGTGAACAAGTCATTTTTGAGAGTGATGTTGCCCAATAGGTTAGTTTATTATTCTCCACACCTAGCACTGTGCCTTTGTTCAGAGTAGTTGCTTTTTAATATTATCAGAGTAAGCAAAGGGATGATATATTACATTAAATACACTCAGCTCCAGGTTTTAGGGAAATGTTTACATTTTGACCATTCTTTCACTTACATAGACTTATTGTTATTTACACAACCAAAGACATCTGAATTTTAAGTCATTTTTCTTCTGGAAGAGTATGATAAACAAAAGATGTAATCATTTTGGTCCAAATTGAATCACCTGTCAATAGTTGATCTTTCATTTTACATTCTGGAGGACTAATCTGAGGAAACAAGTTAAAGAAGATGCCATATCTCATATCATTTGTTCAATAAAGCAGAATTTATTTAGCATCTTTGTGCTAGAGGGGATACAAAGAGGAAAAATATTCAAGTTCTACCTCAAAGAAATTTCAATGGAATGGAAAGTAGAAATGAGACAAATGCACATATATGCCTGTAATGCAAGATAGAAGATTAGTACCATTAATTCCATGGGGTTCTAAATAGTGAGAAAGTTCATTTGCTTGGAAGAATGGGAAAAATCTTCCCAAAAGAGGACATTTTAGATAGGAGTAGAAAAGCTAGTAGGATTTTGCTAAATAGGTGCAAGTATTCATAGGTGAAAGAAAGAGCATAAGCGAAGTTCTTACATAGCAAAGCATAAGGCATGTAGAGGATACAGTAGAGGATTAGAATACAGAGGGAATGAAGAATAAAAAATAATAGGACTGAAAAGGAGAGTTAGATGCTATAATACATAGGTCGAAGCCTTTGCATTTATATAATAGTCAATAGTGAGCCTTGATATGCTGGTGAGCTAGGGAATGGCATGATCAGAGCTGTGTTATAGAAGACTCTTAAATCACATCTTTCCACATATATATGAGAATAATGAAACAATGGTTTCCCAGATGACAATATTCTTTTCTTCTTCTGTAACATTATTTCCTATAAAAATAATTTCATTTATATTACTCATAATATATAATATGTAGTATTTTGAGTAATGTAGAATAAGCTGTGATGAAAATAAGCCCCTAGGTAATTATTGTGTGGTCTTATCTTGATGTCAAATGGCTTTTTAATTGTTGGGAGGAAGTAGGGAGGAGTTGAGGAATAGAAGTGTCTCATTACTCATGTGTATTCAATTCCAATAAATATTTAAATAAAGGTGTTTAATTCTATTAAACATTTGGCAATATAATTTTTTATTTTTAATAATAGTTTTAATTGGTTTTGCTTACTATTAGATTCTTATTACTATATATTAGTCCCCCCATTATCTTCAGGGGATACTTCCTAAGACCCCCAGTGGATGCCTGAAACTGTGGATGCTACAGAACCCTGTACATACCATGATTTTTCCTATAAATACATAGCTGCGATAATGTTTAATTTATAAATTGGCACAGCAGGAAATTAACAACAATAACTAATAATAAAATACAACAATGATAACACTATGCTGTATAAAAGCTATGTGAATGTTGTCTGTCTCTCTCTATAAATATACTGTAATATTTTCAGATTGCTGTTGGCCACAAGTAACGGAAACCCGCAGAAAGTGAAAGAGTGGTTAAGGAAGGACTACTGTATTCAGAAAATTAAATCAAATTACAAGGCTCAAATGGAAGGCTCCAGTAAATTTCTTTCTCTTCTTTATCATCTGCTCTTCACATAAAACAACACTGCAATGCTTTAAAAAGTGTTACTCCAGTTACTAATGAGATGTTCATTTTTCTTGGTTATACTGAGTGGTACTTCCAAAAGTAGTTTCTTATAAAATTGCCTATTTGGTCAATCTAAAATTAGGCCACCAATGTTGTAAGAAGAGATTGAAAAATTTGCCTATAATATGGTATAAATTACGAACTTGTATTGATACTTCAAAACGTGAGTCTAAGCTAGAACTACTTTCAGTCAAATTTAAGTCATTATTACCTTTCTTTCAGAAACCATGGCATAAAACTAAAAAAAAAACAAAAAAACAAAAAAAAAAACAATTGCAGAAAAGTGCCCTAAATTGGTCCAATAAATCAAATTCAAATCAATAAAAAGCAATTATGACATATTTAATTTTATTCCATTTTAAATCAATCTATAAAATTCTGTGTTAATCTCTCTACAGAAGATAGCCTTAAAAACTAAAGATACTTTTTCCTCTTCATTTCCCCCTTAGTCTACTGATTTTAGAAAATCATTTTTTATATTCATTCACAAGGACTTTAAACTATGCTATAATTATGAAATATCACAGCTTCATATATTCCATTAAGATAAACATTTTTACCATGAAAGAGCTTTAGTAAAATTAATAGTCATAAATAAAATGTCTAAAAAACTGTTCTCTTAATTTATAAGAAAACATTATGTGTTCTATTAGAGTTTAGTAAAACCTTGGGTGAATAAAACAGTGCTATGCTGATTTACATAGGACTATATTTTTCAATGAATCTAGATTAAAATTCAGTTGAGAAAACTTGAGGAAAGCTCATACCATATGTGCTTATGATTTTATCTTCATGAAACATTTCTCTGAGTCAATTAAAAAGCAGCTAGAAGACTAACAAAATAAAAGTTCTCAAATGTCATTGCATTTCAATACTTGTAGAAAAATAAAGAGTTAATCTTAACATCTGGATTTCTAGTTTTCTACATAAGATGTAGTAATGGAAGATGAGAGTTGTTTGAGCTAATTTATCTTTCAGGCTTAAGTATCTCATCTTTTTCTCTGAAAGTTTTTAGATGTTTCAATAGCTGATTTCTGTGTAACGTTATAACCTTTACATCAGGTTTATTTTTCTCTCCACAGATGGTCATTTGATAATGATAGATGAAGCATGTCTGAATAAAAAGTTATGAAACACACAGATTCATAAGAATTACAGACAGTATAATTACTTTATTGCTAAGCCTTCTATATATTCTATTACCTTGTATACACATAAAACATATAAATGTGTATCTTTAACTCACTAAATTAAAAGACACCATTAAAACATTAAAAACACAGCTATATATAACTTTGCTGGAATGATATTCATATTTAAGTCCATGAATTTTAAAGCTAAAAGTACTGAAAAATTATTTGTTCCCCTGTTTTATCCACTGAGACTGCCTCTGCAACATACTCACAATGTGATTATCTGACTTAACAGTTGAATGTCTCCAATAATTTCTCCAATTGACAGAAACAGAAGGGACAAAACTTTTTCATTAAAGAATAATACTGAGAAGTAGCTTTAATTCAGTCATGGAGTACATACAAAAGACAAAGTCCTGGGTCACAGTTGTGTCAGGATTTAGTAGAGAGTGCATATAATATGAGATAAGCACATATCCAAAATCTAGTCAGCTAAATCACAAAGGTATTAATGACTAGCAGTGGAATAAAAGAAAGGAGGGGTTTAAGAGGTTTAAACTAATTATACTGACAGCACTGTTGCTGTTAAATAACTTTTCTTTACCTAAATATGGCAAAGGGAACAGCAGATTCAGCTCTCTGTGCACCTCGAAAGTATCCCAGAAATAATCACAGCAATGAGAAACTCATAAGCTAAAATATCCCTCTGCATCTTCTGATTACAGTGTCTATTGCTATATACCATGTTCCAGGTATGTAGAACAGTGCCTTTCTAATAGTAGACACTCGGTAAATATATGCTAAATGCATAAATGAATCTATTTTGAAGTCAGGAAAAGTGTGGGAAGGATAGCATGTGCAATCTGTTTTTATACAAAAAAAAAAAAAATCTTTTACAGTAATATCCCCAAAAGTCTTCTCTTTAGGTTTCATAGTTAAAGTAGAGTTATAGAACCAACCTTAGCTGTAAGAAAGGATGGAAAAGAGAGTATTTAGCTTGTCTAATCTCTATAGTGGAGACAGCAAGGGATAAGAGACATTGGAAATAAGTATCATGTCAACCAACCAACAGAAACTTCCATGCACTGCAATCTATTATTTCAGCTAAGTTTCAAAACTTCATATTAGTTATTTTTATTACACCCATTTATTGAATGAGTAACTCAAAAATTAAGATTATTAAGCAACTTCTCTCAGGTCTCACAATTATGAATAGTGGCAATGGAGCTTAATCCATGTTGTCAAACTCCTATCTACTCTCAACGACTACACTCATTTTTTAAGAGAATCAAAGAGGTCAGCACAAGACATACAATTTAATTTCTGTCCCAATTTTTTTGGTTGTGTGCCTTCCTTTACATCCTTTTACTTGAACTTTTTACAAATTTAAGGACCTTTCTTTGCCAATTCTCTGGCCATGCAAATATGTTAACATTCCTTTTCCTTTTCTTTTTTATTGGGATCAGTTTCATATTTGTACATTCTTGGGAGTATCTTTTTACTCATGAGATTTTACCTCTTTTAGGATTTCATAAAGCTCATATTTTATTAATGTGCATGATTTCTACTTTTACTTCAAGACAAAGCGTGCATTTTTACATGGAAATTTACTGAAATAGGAATATAAATTTAAAAGTTAGGGCAGATACTCTTGATTTCTTGTTCAACAATCATTGCTAGTTTCTCATCTTTGCTTAGAAATTCTTGGTTTTATTCAGACGTTTGAATATCCAAGTGGATGACCTTTGATGTGTTCTGTTTAATATTTCCCAGCAGATCACTTAGATATAGTCATTTTTAAAACCATGGCTAGTAAGACATAAGGGGAAATCTTCTAGGATGATTTGAGCAAGTCTTATCCTTCATAAAAGAGTTACACGAATTAAGTCCTCCCCATTTCTACATTTGTTCATTTTCATGTGAGAACTGAAAATGAGCTGCTTCTGTTCCTTGCTACGGTGAAGTTAAAGGCCTCAGGACATAATTCAATCCTCTGAGGTTGACAGATCAGAAAGAGGGAAAGCACCTGCCTCCTTTATTCTTATTGCGGAATCATGTGAAACTGGAAGCACAAACTTACAGTATTACTGCTATGAGGAAGATAAACTCTTCAAAAATACAAATGTTAAGATGTGTCTCATAGTTTTCATGTGAATGTTACTATTTTGTCATTATTTAAACAATTTAGTGAAAAGGAAATCTTATTAAAATGTACTTCAGATGCCAGATATTAGAACTATAAGTTAGAAAGAACAGAAAGGTTAGTGCATTGAAAGAAAATTGAATAGCTCACTGACTTATAACACTAACCCAAAGCTTTCTCACAAGACTAACTTCACTTCAGATTTGTAAAAATTTCTGATTATAAAAGTCATAGAACAAAAAGAGAAAGGGAACATATCATTTTCCTGACTAAATGTATCAGGGACCAACAAGCTTTTGCTACAAAGGGTCAGATAGTAAGGATTTTAGGTTTTGCAGACTATATGGTCTCTGTTGCAAGTATTCAACTCTGATATTGTAACACAAAAGCCACCATAGACAATTATAAATGAATGAGCATGGCTATATTCTAATAGAATTTTTATCTATGGACACTAAGATTTGAATTTCATACAATTTGACACAAAATAGTATTCTAATTTTGATTTGTTCTTTCTCAAACATCTAAAACTTCAAAACCGTGTTAAGTTCCTGAGTTGTACAAAAATAGATTTGTACAAAAATGGGTTTGTTTTGCAGTCTTTAGAGTTTGCCAACTCCTGGAGATAGAAAAATAATTCTTGTAGTCCAATTTGTTTTCAGCTATTTCCCCACTACCATGAAAATAAATAGAATTTCATATACACCCTGGGCTTTGGAGAAATCCGTTTTGGGTGTCTGTTCTCTAGGGAAAGCTCTTATATAAAGCAGATGTTCCCAATCAGTTGCTAGAGGATTCATGACAAGGGACTTCAAATTAGTGTGTGCATAAAACAATGTCTATGGACAAAATAAATAAAGTGATTCATGGTTACATGGAAAAAACTCAAGAATCCTCCATTCTTCTTCCCACTACTAATTGTATCTTGCTTTACTTAAACCTAAAAATTTGGAAACTTTTAGCCAAAATAAAGCAAAAGAGGCAAGCGCCTTCACCCTTTATATCTTTGTCATACTAACACTATAGAGTATAAGTTGCCACTACTTTTTATTATTTGATATCACCATAAGAGTGGCTTCACTCACCCATTATTCACTGTTTTATTCTGTATATTTGGCTATCTAGTCATCTTAAGAAAAATACGTATGCCAAAAAAGCAATAGCAAGATAGTAAGAACTTGCCAACTTAAGAAACATCTCAATCTGAATTAATGAAAATTATAAATGAAATAGAATAATTTAAGTGAATATACTTTATTATTTTATCAATGTAAAAGTAGGCCAAAGTAAAAAAATATTTGAGTGATTTATTTTAGAGTAACCATAGATCTCAGTTGACCCGGAACAATGCCAAATTAGAACACTTGTCCTGTGTACAGTTATTAATAAGTGCCCCATTTCATTCTGAAAAGCACATGCACATGGAGAACAAACTGTATGGTGGTTGTAATTTTAGGAAACATAAGAGACTATTTTGTAGTGTCTATCTGATCATTCTATTTTCTAAAGTTTTTAGAAGAGCCTAATTCTGATGTTTGTTCTCTCTGCAGAAATGCTATTTACTTGTGAAATTTTGAATTATGGAATGTGAAGTCACGTTCAGTAGGATTTATTTCTGAGAATCTTGTGAGGCCTTGGTTGAGGACAGTTCCCGTCCAGACAGGTTTTGCTTCTGCCAAGCATCCTAGGGATGGTACCACCATAAAACTACTTTATATGTTATTTTCTCAGGTTAAAGCCTTCCAAAACCATGCATATAATACAAATGCTATTTGCATAAGTGCAGATTTATTATTATGAGTTATCAGAAAAGAATTATATTTTAAATCCAGGCCAAAATAGAATGCTTTCTTGCAGTTTTTCTTTGCTGGTGCATGGGATTTTTTCTGCCAACCTGTCCTTTCACTGATAGAGCCCTTAGAAAATCTTTGCTTTATATATAGGCATCAGTTTCTACTCACCAGCATCTAGCTGACATGGTTATCAAAACCCAAACAGTCTACATTCCACAAGACAAAGCATTAACAACTACTTAGCCCTCAAGAGAGGACACCTCTAGAAAGTTCTTGCTTTCTAGAAAACTCATCTCTTCATTTCAAAGGATGCTTGCCATATATTATCTAGCATTTTTATAGTGTGAGGAGTTTCAAATGATCTAATATCCTGTATTTCCAGGAATCAAATGGAATAAAAATGGGAAAGAGAAGCATAAAACTAGCAAAGGACAAGTTGGAGAGGTAAGAAGAAAGCCTAAATAGTGAATGTAACTGATGTTAAGGGAGGAGAGATTTCCAAGAAGGACCTGATCAACCACCTGTTGCAGCAGTAACAAGAAAGATAAAAAGTGAGAAAAAGAACATTAGCTTCATGTAAATGACTGCTAGGAACTTAGGAAAGTAACTTCAGAACAATATTTTAGGTGGTGATCCCTGAAAAATATATAATGTATTAATTTGAAGAAATCAGCAGAAAAGAAGCAGAGAGAAAAGAAAAGAAGAGAGACTTAGGATAATCTCTTGAAGCAGGCAACACTTCATTAATGGAATTATTGTAAAAATTAAATAAAATAACTCATGCAAACCCTAAGCATGGTGCTTTGCGGACACTTAATAATCACAGTTACTTTCACCATGTCTTTCCTTCCTCCATGAGAAAAATAATACAAATGCTTTAAGATGCTACAAGGTGAGAACTTTAGAAAACTGAATTCTCACAGAAAGTGTCATGCAGAAAAGTGTTCACACAGCAGGTCTGAGTTGCTCAAACCCTGCACATTCCCAAGAAAGACCTATCTAATGTGATTGACCCCAAATAAAAACTCTGAATATCAAGGTTCAAGTAAGCTTCCTTGTTTAACAACACTTCTTCCTTGTCACACATGATTACTGGGAAATTAGTACATCTAGGAAACTCCACTAGGAGAGAGCACCTGGAACATTGTGCCTAGTTCCTCCTGGATTTTGCCCCATTTCCCTTTTCCTTTTTGCTGATTTTAGTCGATATCCTGTTGTTGTAATAAATAAATAATTTTGTAAGTGTAACAGTTTTTCTGAGGCATAGGAGTCCTTCTAGTGAATCACCAGTATTGAAATTGCTCTTGGGAACCCCCAACACAACTACAAAATAGTTTTATATGTTTCTTAAAGTTATGGTGACATGCAACTCATTTTCCAAACTGCATGTACTCTTCAGAGTGAAATGAGGCACTATTAATAGTTACATGCAATATAAGGGGGAGATTAAGGTTCAAATTGAACATATTTTTACGAGGAAATTTTTATCATAAGTGAAAATAAAGACAAAAGAATTTAGTAATTAGGTATCTTAAGGAGAGAGCCAAAACTTTGGAATAGACAGTGTGAAGAGTATTCACTGTGTCAAATAAACAAACATAACTGAATTGCCAAAGAGTGGTCAGAGCCCAGTTGGATTTATGAGAATCAATTTGGAATGAGTCAGATATGCTCAGTAAATGGAAATTTCTCCAGAGGTCCTCTTCAGTAAAGGAACTAAAGGAAAGGAAAGCAGATTGTGAGAGGACTTTTAATTCTCACCTAATTACTAATTAGGACTTCTAATTACTGCCGATAGCCCTCAGATGTTTCTTAGGGTCTCTTTCTAGGCATACACATAACCATCTTCCCACATTGGATCCCTATCACACCTTGACAATAATATGATAATGTTCCGGACTCCCAAGTTCTAATCTGCAATAAAAACACTACTTTTTCTAATTAAAAAATAGTGCATACTCATTACATTTAGAAAAACTAAAAACATTAAATATAATGAAGAAATCACTTCTTATACAAAACCCTTATGATTTTGCTGCATTTACTTACATCCCTTTTAAAGTGATAATGTTCATAATTACACATAAACTTACAAGCAGTTTTAATTTTTAATGGGACTCCTCTATAGAAATTTTAGTGTACAGTTTCCTTCAATTAATATTTACTATAAGCATATTACCAGTGAATGCTAAATATGCTTTAAAGGTATAACCTTTAAATGACTTTATAATATTCTGTCATAATGAAGCATTCAATCCCTTAATTTTACAGATGAGAAATCTGAAGCTTAAAGAGGTTAAGTGACTTCTCCAAAGTCACAGAGCTAGTTTTGTTAGATTTAGGAAGAGAAACAATTTCTCTAAAGTTCTTATTTAATATTTTATTACTTCACTTTAATCTACCCTGTATAGTGCCACTCATATAACTGTCCTCAAATATTGAACGTATCATATCACCTCTCTGCTTTAGCACACAGGCACCCAACTGCATAGAAGAAAATGTCCAAACTCTTCACCCTAGTATTCAAGGTCTTTTTACAAATCAGCTTTACATCACTTTCCATGTCCTAATCCCATACCACTTTACATTAATTATTTGCTTATACTTAGCCCATACCATTACCCTGGAATATAGTATGCTAATTACAGAATCCAAGACTTACATATCTTGTTTCCCTCGCCAAGATTTAATTTCCTCTTCTTTCATATGCCCAAATACTAAAACCCTTCAGGGCTCTATTCAGATTCTACATCCTTCATAAAGCCTTTTCCACCCACCATAACTCACTCTAAACTCTTAGTTCTCTAAATTCATAAAGCCTTTTCCATATGAATAGTAGAGTGTCTTCCCATCAGATGTAAACTATCTCAATTATTCATTGCCATGTCAATCTCCTCTGCAAATGTGATGCAAAGAAAATATTCAACCATACTGACTAGACTCACTTCAAATTCATAAATAAAAACCTCAGATGGGTTCTTATTTTTCATTGTGGTAAAATATACATAGCATAATATTAATAATTTTAACCATTTGTAAATGCACAATTCAAGGGCATCAAATTCATTCAAAATGTTGTGTTATCACCATCACCACCACCACTTCCCAAAACTTTTTCATTATGCCCAATAAAAATTATACATCCATTAAATAGTAACCTACCTTTTCTCCTCCTCAGACCCTGGCAACCTGCATTTTGCTTTCTGACTCTATGAATTTGCCTATTCTAGGTACCTCACGCAAGTGGAACTGTACAATACTTGTCCTTCTGTGTCTGGCTTATTTCATTAAGCATCATATTTTCAAGCTCTATCCATGTTGTAGCATATATCAAAATTTCTCTCCCTTTTACAGCTGAATTGCATTTCACTGAATGTGTATAATTTATTTTGCTTATCCACTCATCTATTGATGGACACTTAAATTGTTTTCATCTTTTGGCTATGAACATTGGTATACAAATATCTATTTGAGCTCCTGCTTTCAATTTTATTGGATATAAGCCTAGGAATGGAATTGCTGAGACATGTGGTAGTTCTATGTTTAACCATCTTATATTCCCACCAGTAATGCACGAGGGTTTCAACTTCTTTACCTCCTAGCCAGCACTTATTTTCCATTTTTTGTATTATAGCCAACCTGGTAGGTGTGAAGTGGTTCTCTCATTGTGTGTTTCCCTAAACTAGTGATGGTCAGGGTCTTTTCATGTGTTTGTTAACCATTTGTATATCTACTTTGAAGAAATATCTATTTATGTCTCCTGCCCATTTTCTTAAATTGGGTTGTTTTTGTTGTTGTTGTTGTTTTTGAGTTTAAAGAGTTCTTTATATCTTTTGGATATTAATTCTTTATCAGATATATGATTTGCAAATATTTTCTCCCATTGAGTAGATTGCCTTTTAATGAAGGTCATTTATCAATTTTTTCCTTGTTTGCACTTTTGATGTCATATCCATGCAATCACTGCCAATGCAATCAAGATTTCCTATAGTGTTTTCTTCTAATAATTTTATATTTTTTAACTAAGTTTAGGTCTTGAATAAACTTTATAGGAGGCCATTGGTTTGGACTGAGCTCTTGCACTAGGTTCAATAAACCAAACCAAAATGGAGTTTCTCATGCAGAAGTTCCACACCACCAAGCTAAAACTGAGTGGTTTATCTGAGCTTCCAAGAAATTGAAAGAGATAACAGCCAAATCCTCAAACAGTCCCTGTTTTAGCTGGAATGCTAAGAAAGTCTACTCTGCTATAATCTTTCCAAGGAAAACTCTGTAATGCCCAATCCGCTTTTGTTTTTTGTTGCTGCTTTCCTCAGCATTTTTCTGTCTATAAAGCCAAGCTCCTATGCTCAGCTCATCAGAACACTCATTCTATTTTATAGAATAAGATGTTGCTGGATTCTAGAATTGCAAATAAAAGTCTATTAAGGTATTTGAACTAAATTTGTTATAATTATGTGTTTTAGCAGTCTTGGAGTTAAATTTTGCATGAGAGTCTGAATCCCCATACTCAGGTAGCTAACTCCCACTTCTATGAACTCCAAATGTTGTTAGTCAATTATACTTATCTGTCTGGTCTATGTAGATGCCCACTCTCCTAAATGACTATTTCACAATTTCTCTCTTCTCACCCCATAAATCACCACTCTCAGCCAATTACAGTACTTCCTATCTTGTCAAAAAAATTGAGGCAATCTGAGGAGATTTCTACAGACCTCCACTGCCATCTGCCCAACTACCAGCATCTGCACATACCTCATATTCACAGTTAAGAATAAGGGATTATGCAAGGCCTTAAATATCAGGAGGTGGAAATCATTGAGGCCATCCTAGAAACCTACGAACCACAACCATGACACAGAAATAAATTCTGAATAATTTTGCTGACCACAGTTTTCAAAACACCACTCTGGTGAATGGATGACTAAGGTTAACGAGGTCAAATAAAGCAAAAAAACAAAAACAGAAAATAAACTTAAATCAAGTTTTCTGCTTATCTTCAAACTTCAACAAAATCCTTTTGTGGTAAGTTTGGAGGAGGGAAGAGCATACTTTCTCGCATTTATCGGCTTCATTTCTCTAATAAATAACTAATAAACAGGCATCTTTAATTATATTTTGTCAGATATAAAATATTTCAAAATCTAGCAGATAATGGTTAGCCATGTCTATCAGAAATTCAAGCATGCCCACTAACAATATACTTGTAACTGCAAGCAGAGTCTAACATGTAAAACTCTGAAAAACATTCAACCTGAATTACTCATTCATAGAAAGCAACCCTGGTTCAAAGAGGGAAAACTGTGCTCTTTTGCAAGCTCTAGTATTATTTTCTATTGTAAGAATTCATCCATGTTCTGCAACTGAGTTACCTTTAATTACACTCACATATGCTTATTTTCCACAGACATCCTTCATTTTCTTCTCTCTAGGACTATAAATTGCCAATTTCTTTAAGAAAAAAAGCAAAGATGTACTTCATACTGCCTTCATTTCTCTTCAACTTTATTTGATATGTTTATAAACTATCTGGCTCTCAAGAATAGACTGTCAATTGTGTGCATACCCAAATTTGACCAATACTTTCTTAAAGAAATGAGCTAAACCTTTATATTAAGTTGTATTTATTGGGCTCCCTGAATACGCTACAGACTGATCAAAAGCTCTCTCTAAGTTTATTTTCTTAGAAGATGACCCTCTATGAAAGATGTGCAAAATTCATGTTATTTTATGGGTTCCTGTATCTATTCCATGTTCTTTGGTTTTGAATTTTAAAAAGTCCTTGGATAGAAGTCTTAGGAAAGACAGCCTGATGAAAAATTCTCTAAAGAGTTAGAATAAATATTCATGGCACTAGCAGGTCAGAGGAGTGACAAAAAGCTGGCACCATGACATAGATAAGCCCTTCAAATTCAGGTTTTATGCTTCCGATTGGACCAATCAAAATTATCTATCTTTCTGATTGTTTCTAACTCTCCCCCTCCCTTCTTCTCTCTCTCTCTTTCTCTCTCTCTCTGTTGTTTTCCTCTCTTTCTCTTGTTCCTCCCCCCAACTAGAATTATTCCAAATTTTTCTACTTGTTGAAGGACATCAATGAGTCACTCAATGACATCTTCTACCTTGGTACATTATGATGTTTTGTTGTTGAGAAACCATTAGATAAACAAAATTATTGAAAGAGAAAAAATGAGATTGCGTTTCTTAATAAATTATCCCAATTCCCTGTAGTTTTGTTTTGTTTTTGTTTTATTTTGTTTTGTTTTTTGAGATGGAGTCTTGCTCTTGTTGCCCAAGCTGGAGTGCAATGGCACAATCTTGGCTCACTGAAACCTCCACCTCCTGGGTTCAAGCGATTCTCCTGCCTAAGCCACCCAAGTAGCTGGGATTACAGGTGCCCGCCACCATGCCCGGCTAATTTTTTTGTATTTTTTTAGTAGAGATGGGGTTGCACCATGTTGGCCAGGCTGGTCTCCAACTCCTGACCTCAGGTGATCCACCTGCCTTGGCCTCCCAAAGTGCTGCTATTACAGGCGTGAGCCACCGTGCCCGGCCTCCCTGTAGTTTCAACAAATGATTTTGCCTGCTACTTCAAGGGGGAAATTAGTGTCTTTTAGCAAGAACTCCCTCAATTACTTGTCCCCTCCTATCACTCCAAGAAGCATAGGAGCATTTCTATTATTTCTATTTTCTTCCTTTTTATTTCAATGGAAAAAAAAAACTGATTGCAGGCCACTGATTTCGGTGGTAAAAAGGTAAAACATATTTAAGAATGTTTCACATATATCTGCTTAAATTTCTATGTGCTCATCACTTTGACTCCCTCTTTTGTTATCTTATTCTCTTTTGGTAGATGCACCCCTCTTTGCTATCAGCAAGTTGCAGAAAAATAATCAAGGCAGCAAGCTACAACTGTAGATTGTACCCTACACCAATCATGTGTAAGAGGCACTGTAAGAAGGCACTCTATCATTTAAAGCCCCCTGAACTTCCCTTCAAGCAGTAAAAACACCAGATGAAAGATACGAGAAATATGAATTCATAGATATTTTCTGTATTTACACTGATGACAGCCATATTACACGTATTGCCCATGAAGTTGAAAACTTGGTATGGTCCCTCTTATTTACAATTCAAGTCCATCTCCTCATTATCTCATCCTTTTCATCTGTTCTTTATAACCAAAACCCTTTGCAAATGCCTCCCAGACCTTCCCCCCATATAAAGTTAATTAGATCACGAGCAGCTCTTCTAATTAAGCTTACTTCAACCACAAATGCATTTTCTCATTTTATTATCACTAACACCAAGATGAGATACTGTGATTAACAATTAGGTGAACGCTCTGTTCCATGAGATTGAGTCTCAAGTGCAATATGGTCTTAACTCAGGTTTCTGGTCACAAGAAAGTATAAACACTTTGCAAAGTCCTTGAAATCTTCTTTAGGTCACTCAATGCATTCCAGAATTGAATGAATTAACACTTTCTATTTTTACTCCTAATCTGAATATATATCCGTAACACAAAACAATAGATCTTCTTCTGATTAATATTAACCACCTCTAATATACAAATACACTAAAACCTCCACTAGCTCAAAAATATCAAGTTTCCAAACAAATATATTCATGCATTATTAACGGTCAGTAAGTTCATCCTGTTTCTGTATGGTGTATGTTTTCTTTGTCATTTTCTTGTACATATTTAATAGAGTTGTAGATAGACAATAGCTTGAATAAGTTGTGAGGTTAAAATGTGTGACTGTATCATTGGTCCTATACTAGCCCCAATTTACCATACAAAATTAGAGAAAGACACTTAAGCTTTCTGAAACTTAGCCACCTACAATGAATGAAATTTCTGCTTTACAAAGTTGCTTGTAAATGTTGCTAAATGAGATAAATTGTAGAATACTAAACAATTTTAATTAAAATTATTATGGTTATTATTTTCCTACATAATTTGAAGGTGTTAGTCTAGGCTCTAGGGGTTTCTGAATTACTGGCCTACAGTCTTTTAATTGGAATAAAAATGGTATATTAAGAGGTAGTGACAGGTATTTCAGGAAAAATAATTTTTGTTTATTAAAGTACCTTAAGGGGCCATTTATGTAAGAATAGAAAGGCCCTAGAGGGCATTCTGCAAGGAATGTGTAAAAGAAAAGGGAAAGGGAAAGTGGGAGGAGCAAAAGGACTCTTATAAAATAACAGACATTTATAAAAATCATTCTACTATAAAGACACATGCACATGTATGTTTATTGCAGCACTATTTACAATAGCAAAGACTTGGAACCAACCCAAATGCCCATCAATGATAGGCTGGATAAGGAAAATGTGGCACATATACACCATGGAATGCTATGCAGTCATAAAAAAGAATCAGTTCATGTTCTTTGCAGGGACATGGATGAAGCTGGAAAACATTATCCTCAGCAAATTAACACAGGAACAGAAAACCAAGCACCGCATGTTCTCACTCATAAGTGGGAGCTGAACAATGAAAACCAATGGACACAGGGAGGGGAATATCACACATCAGGGCCTGTCAGGGGGGTGCGGGGAGAGGGGACGGAGAGCATTAGGACAAATACCTAATCCATGCAGGGCTTAAAACCTAGATGATGGGTTGACAGGTGCAGCAAACCACCATGGCACATGTAAACCTATGTAAGAAACCAGTACATTCTTCACATGTATCCCAGAACTTAAAGTAAAATTTTAAAAAAATGACAGACATTTGGTTTTATTTTGTTCTGGCATTTCAGATATGAAAAGGGTAAAGAACCCAATAATTAAAGACACAAGGAAATTTTAGATGGAAAAACAGAAAAAAAAAGAATTTAGCAAGATGGCAGGAAGCTGGGGATAATAAAGATGCCAGGGAAGCCCTGCAAAAGACAGAAAAAAAATGAACGTATAATATTTATATTAAATTCTTGCTGATGAGAAAGACAAAATGCACTGAACAAATAATGAGATGTTTTATTCAAGTTATTACAGAGATGATGTCATTAGTGAGGGAAGTCTCAAAGAAAAGGAAGGGTGCCAGAAGTTTTATAGAGGCAGGCAAACAAAGTCATCCACAAGTCTTATGGGAGTCATGAGAAAGAATGGAGACTGGTGTTAGAGTATGTAAGGGCAGTGTGGTGGTACTTTGCCACTAGCCTTTATTCTGAACACAAAAATTGGGAGGACATCTTAACTTGCACTGCTTTCCCACAACGCAGGGCTCAGAAAAAAAAATAACATTGTCACTTGTCTCTGAAATAATCCCCCTTCTTTTTACCATCCATCTTTAGTAAATTCTGCTGTATAAGGTACTTTGAGAGAACTGAAGGAAAAGAGAGTTAAATTCTATGTTTTAACCAATTTAATAGAGGGAAGAAAAAATAATCCAGGTGGTGAGATATTAAGAATTGAACAGAAAGAGGAAATTAAAACAAGAGGTGGTCAGAAAGAATGTAAGCCATCAAGAACTTTTAGCAATATTGCAAGGTCAGGAAGTAAGGGGTTGGATGTTTCAATGTATGTAGAAAAGAAGGTTGGAGGATTTAGCAATTCCCAGGTGGTAATATTTGGGGAATTCATATAAAACTGAAAAAATTAGGTACTCATAGGAAATATAAAAAATATTTAAGGTGGCCAGCAAAATACTTGTTTGCTGGAGTTTCAGGTGCAGTCTAAAAGTGCATCCTAAGGAAGGAGGCGGCATTCCTTTTTCTACCTATAATAAGCCAGAGAGTTTTAGAGATGCCAGTTTTGGAGACTCTAGGAATTATAGGCAACTGAACTACTGCAAGAGCTTCCTAACTATTAATCTGCTTCCACTGTTCCTCTTTCCAATCTATTCTTAAAATTAACATAAGTTTCCTCAAGTATGAATCAGACTGTGTCACTTCCTTATTTACAGCCTCTCATGGCACACCAAGATCATTCATAAGCCAATATAGTTATAGTATAATCTTCTGCCACTCTCACCACCACTTACCATATTATATTATGGGCTATCGCTCAAACAGGAAATTCTTTCATGTTAATCTATTGATTTTCGCACATCTAAATAGAATGTACTACTCCTAAAGCTTTTTTCACAATTTATTTTATCAGCAAATTTATCACAATAGCTCCAGCTGCTGAAGTTCAGATTTCCCCACTGGACTAAAAGATCAAGGACAAGAACTGTGGTTTAGATTTTACATATCCACCCTACCTTCCATACCCTTCCCAGAATCTAGCTCTAGGTATATGTTCAGTAAATGTTTTTAAATAAGTGAACCACTGTGCTATAAGTACCTTTATTCTGGTAAGTAAATGAGCCAAGGCAAGATCATATCTGGATATATATAATTCTCATGAAAAGGTAAATTTCAGTTTATACAATACACAAGTTGAAATATGATAATCTCTCAAGGATTATATAGAGAAGCCACAAGCTTAAAACAGTAGGTTGAAATATATAGTCTTTAAAATTCCATCCAACCCTACAAGTCAATAATTCTGTGGTTAATAAGTTAGAAATGGAAACAGATGAGAATCAGAAAGGAAATATAATACTAAGCATCTAAAGAAGGTCATCTTGGAAGAGAAGATACTGTAACTCAAATCCTTACTGTCTATGTGCATACCTCTGAGCAAGGGTCAGTATGCTAGTTTCCCATTGCTGCTGTAACAAACTACCACAAATATAGTGGCTTAAAACAAGACAAATTTGTTATCTTACAGCTTTGGAGGTCAGAAATGGAAATGGGTCTTAATGGGCTAAAATATGGATGACTGCAAGGCTGCATTTCTTTCAGGAGGCTCTAGGACAGCATCCATGCCATGCCTTTTCCAGCTTCTAGAAATCACCCACATTCCTGGGCTACTGGCCCCCATCAGTCTTCAAAGCCAGCAGTGGCAGGTTGAGTCTTTCTCACAATGCATCACTCTGGCTCTGACTCTGCTTCTTTCCTCTTTCACTTATAAAAACCTATGAGACTACATCAAACTCACTCCAATAGTTGAAGATAATCTCCCCATCTCATAGTCAACCAATTAGCAACCTGCAACTTTAATTATCCCTTGCCTTATATTACAGGTTGAATTGTGCCCCCCAAAAAAATACCTTGAAATTCCAACTCACAGTACTTCAGAATGTACCTTATTTGGAAATAGATTTATTGCAGATGTTATTAGTTAAGATGAGCTTACAGTGGGGTAAGACAGGCCCTTAATCCAATATGACTGGTGTTCTTACAATAAAAGAAGACACAGAGAAAGGAAGACACAAACGTACAGAGGGAAGATGGCCATGTGATGATGGAGGCAGAGATGAGATTGATGCACCTAGAAACACCAAGGATAACCAACAAACAACAGAAGCTAGAAGAAGAAAGGAAGGATTCTCTCCTATAGGTTTCGGAGTGACCAAAGCTTTGCCAATATCTTGGTTGAAGACTTCTTGCCTCCTGAATTGTGAGACAATAAATTTCTGTTGATTTAAGCCACCCAGCTTATGGTACTTAGTTATGGCAGCCCTGGCAAACCAATACACCATATAACACATATTCACAGGTTCTGAGGATTAGAACATGGATATCTTGGGAAGCTATTCTTCTGCCTGCCATAGTCAGTGGGAGAAGTGATAAAAATAGAGGACTTTTGCCCTCTAATTAAGAAAGAACAAGATAAATCTCTTTCTGAAGAAATGGAAATGATGATCTTTTTTCCTTTTAATTTACATACTGTCCTGAGGCTTTTATCTTCCTGGAACTTCTATTAAGTATTCCAGATCACTTAGCAACAATTTTCAACCACAGCTTTTTTTGCTGATTTACTATTATGTTAAGTGCTTACCTCATATGTGTGGCTATTTTAAGTTCAGTTTAGGCAAACATGGGATTTAAATGGAAAATGCATAGCTGAAGCATAGACTAGTCACTATGGCAGAGCCTAAGTGAACTGGGAAAAAAAAATCTATGCCAGCTCAGTGTCCTTGAGTTTTCAGAAAGGAAAAGAAAAGATTCTGCTTTCTATTTTTGGAGGTTTTAAAGTCGTCTCTAAATTTGTATCAGTGAAGCTAATGTCAAACAATACTTTTAAAAGTGGCAGGAGTTCTTTCCTTTTCCTTATTTTGAAAGAAATATATATTTCCAAAGATCTTTTAACCTCACAGAAGCAAAATGACTCATTTTCCATCTTTTTGTTCTGTCAGATTTATCTTTTTCCTTTCTTAATAGAGCAGGATTAACACATTTGTCTTTTGAGATAAGGCACACTCTGTGCTGTTCCCTAGTGACCAATCTTTACGGGAACATTAGACTCAGACCTGTTCTGCCCACACAACTAGTAGCTGATAACAGAAGGGACAGGAGAATGTTCATGGGGACAGTTAAAAGAATGAGAGTTTTTGGCCTAACAGGATGCTTCCTCCCTATGAAAAGAATCCCATTTGCCTTAGAGATGTGCGCACCATTAACAAATATGCACACTTACTTCAATTATGGGACACATGTAGCTAAAAATGCCTCAGGGGAAAACATACAGGGAGAAAATCTTATTTTACAACAGCAATGGAAAAGAAAATCAAAGCTATTGCCTCTCTGATATTTGGAAAGTATTCCACACTAACTTCAAGTATTCCAAATTAGAAGCAAAAAAAGCTTCAAAACAATAAAATAAGTCATTCAAGAATGCTTTGATTTCTTGTGAAATATTTTCATTTCCTGAGATATTACTATCAGATTATGAAAAGATATTATTCCTAAAATTATATGGCTAAAAAAGAGGAATAATCAGTTATAGTGTTTGCATAAATGTCACTATATCTCCTTTCTCTGATATTTAAAGCTTCCTGATTAAATCTTCCCTAACGTTCTTTCAATTTGACCTTCAGAATATAAAATAATCTACGTTATATTTTGGATACAAATCTTAACATACCTCTGTTTCCCATTGTTGCCGTAACAAACTACCACAAATACAGTGGATTAAAAGAAGACAAATTTGTTTTGTATTATAAGTGCTGATACTCTACTATAATTCTCAGTGGGTACTATGTTTGTGTTCAATTGACTTAGCATGGAGGATGTAGCTAACATATAATTACCTGGTGCATAATACAGGAATATTTTTTGGAATGGTCATGAGGATTAGCCATGATCAGTATGAAATAAAGCCCAGCATACAGTTGTCTATATAGTGTTAGTTACTTGTGTAGCATAAAGGTGGTAAGTAGTCAATTTAAGCATGCTGCCCTAACCTTGCACCTTGGATTCTAAAACAGAAGAGACTAATGATGTTACACACAAAAATAAGCTAGAAGTCTACAAAACAAGAAACAATTTAAATCTAGCAGGAAGGATTTTAAAGTTTGTGAGCATATTTAAATATCAATTCATCCAACATGTTTCTAGTATTTAGTTTACTGGATTTCAGCACAAATTTCTATGATAGGTGACATGTAACTAAGGCAAATAGAGAACCTACAAGTAGGGACCAAATATTCCAGTTTGGCCAGGATAGTCTTATTTTATGCCTATTGTCCGGGCATCATTAACAGAACACAGCTTCACAATTTATTTTGGGGTCTTGTTCCCCTAATGAAGACATTTCTGGCATTCTAGAGAGAGGCATTCCCTCCTGAGACTCCAGGCCCATGGAGGGAAACTATGACCAGCCCTACCAGCAAGGGGAATTCATTCCATGTGATATTATGCAAATGTTGCTGATTACTTATCAATAGCAATCAGTATGGATATTTCTATTGATTTTTCTTGACATTGCTGGTTTCAACATTTCTTAACTCTAAGATGATAATATCAGCCACATTTTTATTGCATAATGATGATCATGAAACATCCTTAATATGGTCTTCAAGGCCTACAAAATTTGACCCAAGTTCATTTCTCTATCCTCATCTTGCACCACTTTCCTAACCCCTCCCTATTTTAGCCACATGTGCCTTTTTTAGTTATTTGAATTCCATGCTCAGAATCACAGAACATGGTAGAGCTTCTGCTTGGATCCCTCTTCAAATCCAACCTCCACAACACCACATGCACACACACACACACACACACACACACACAGAGGCACAGACAGACACACACACACACATAGGCACATGCACATGCAGAGTGAACTTACTTTTAGAGTCCTCAACTCAAATGGAACTTGCCTAGGGTGGACCACCTTAACCTCAAGACTAGAACAGATTCCATCTTATACACTCTCACAGCACACCTTGTTTTTTATTTACAGCACTTACTTCAGTTTGCAATTAGAAAATATTTGTATAATAGCTGATGTTCCCCTTTAAGCTATAAGATACATTAGGTTGGGGCTATATGAATTTCGTGCACTATTGTATTTGATACACTCAGCATAGTGTCTATTACTAAGGAAATGCAGCATAAAAATTGTTTTCTGAAGGTTAAAGGATACAAGGCTGGAAAGATGAGAATATGTTAGATGAGAGAATTAGTAATCAAAATAACCTTCACAGATTAGAGAGGTAACCTACAACAAATGAAATGCAGCAGAGATAAATTTTAGATCCCCCAGTTTAAACCAAAGAAACAATTATACAAGAAGAGGGTGGAGTAATTAAAAGTATATATATGTTTAAAAGTTGGTGACAGGATTTTTTTACCAAAATAGTAAGAAATATTTCTGTTTTTTTCTTTCTACCCTTTCCCTTATTCCTCCCCACAAGAGAAAGAGTATGTTATTTAATTCATATGATGGACAGAATCTAAATTCCATGGAGTCTCAGCCAGCAACAAAGGACATGGCATTGGAAAAGCATTACTTTCTTTTTCTTTGCATCCTAGACATAGCTGAATCCAGAAAAAGGGGTGCTAGAACCTCCTCCATACAGAATGACTATGCAGGGCCCCATCATAGTTTTGAAGTTAGTTTTAATATCAATATTATAAGTGCTGATACTCTATTATAATTCTCAGTGGGTACTATGTTTGTGTTCAATTGACTTAGCATGGAGGATGTAGCTAACATAAAATTACCTGGTGTATAATACAGGAATATTTTTTGGAATGGTCATGAGGATTAGCCATGATCAGTAACAGATATATTCAATACAATTGCTGAAGAGATGTTAAAATCTTGGACTGAATAATGCAGAATGTAGAACAAAAATAATAATAGGCACATTCTACTCAGAACTGCTCAGAACACTCTTGGTGTACTGTTCAATCCAGGAAACTCCACTTTAAGTGATATACTGAGAAAGATAGGGCATGTTTTGAGGCTGTTCACAATTGCATTATTATTCCTAATTATGTGCTGTCCTCCCTATAAGAGGCTTGTAGATGTCTTAACTTGATATGTGACAGTAAATCCCAGTGGGAGGTTTATATTTTCCCACCCCATCAATGATAGATTTGGACATGTGATTTGCTTTAGCTTAAAAAATATGTAAAAGTGATTTATGCCCTTCCTCAACAAATTTTGCACTTTTTCCTTCTGTTAGATTGGCATAACTTAGGGGGTACTCCTTCCAACTGAGTCCTAAAATGAAGATATATGGAGAAGAACTTCAACAAACCAATAGCTGATGTTTTATGTGAATGAGAATAAATATTGTTGTAACCACTAAGATTATGGGGTTTTTACTACTACAGCAATGCTTAGAGAAAACTGACTAATGCATACAAACAAACTAATTCAGAGTCAGACAACCTGAACAATTAAAGACTTTGAACTTCATATTAGGAATAGTTGAAGGAACTGGGATGTTCTATTTGTCAAATAACAGATGTGGAGACATTGTAATACCCTTTAAATATTTAATGAGTGGGCAAATATAAGAGTAAGAGAACTGTTCTGAGTATTCTTATCATGTCAAATTAGACCCAATTACTGGAAGCTTTAGGGAAATCTATGTGAGCTCAATATTAGAGGGAACTTTCTAACTTGCAGAGGTGGTCAAAGATGAAATTGGAAGTTGTAGGATGCTTTAAAGGGTTTACTGATATTGGGAGGTACTGATAGCTCAATATATTTAGTCAGGGATGGTTTAAGAGGATTCAAATATTGGTTGGGTCAATAAACTAATATGATCTCTATTTAAAACAAAGCACAAAATTTATAACAAAGTACCAAAGACTTTCCCCATGTCCTATAGACCAACTGTCCTTTATGTCTTGGTTTTCTTCTTTCATTCTGTTCTTGTTCAACCATTGTGAATAGTAATTGGCAAACGGAGGAAAGGATTTCTTTTTAAGTCAGAGGCTTCAAAAATTAAGTCTCAGACTGGATGTGGCAATCAAATATTGAGAAACATGTTATTCCCAAAGATTTAAACATTTAAAATAAAATAGGGTATAATAAATATAAAATTCCTTTTATCCCAAACATTATTCAAAAATAAAAATACTAATGAGTACACAAAGATTTATGAAATGATCGTCTATTGCATGTGAGCCCAACATAATTTCTACTTATCTATCTACAGTCTATGTGTATTTGTAGGCCTTATCATAACAACTAATGGGACATTTGAGTAATATTAATTTTTCCACCCAATATAGGATTTGTAAAACTAAAGAGTTTTAATAGCAAGATAAGCCAATCTTTAATTAAAAATCAATGAATCACATCTTCAGAAGAATTTTCATGCTTGCTTTTATGAGAAAAATAACTCTTTAGTAAGTTTTATTTTGCTTTTGTTTTTGTCAAATAAATAAATTCAATGTCATCTTAAAAATTAACATACAAACTGTGGCTGCCAGCATCTGTTTCCTCTATCTCTTCTAATTAATTTTATTATATTTAATTTTTAGTTATTGTAACATATGCTTAATTGTATCACCCACTGTAATTTATTTTTTCAAGCAGGTAGTGTACAACCACTAAATAAGTAAACATTTATTAAATCCCAATAATGAATTTAAAATAACTAAAAGAATCAGTATTTTTAAAATCTGAACAAGATTTTCTATATGTCTAAAATTTCAAAATATTCAACATAAGCAACACAAGCAATTTTTGATGAGTCATAAGAAAACTTTTTGGCATCAAATTTAGAAGTCACAGTTATTTTATGACTTAAAAGGCAAATGAAACTCAGTTGTTGATAATTTGAGAAAGAAGCTTTATAGTGTCTATCCCATTACCAATTATGTTTATTTTTCTCTTCTACCAAAATGTTGATTAAATACCAAATACAATGTGTTTGTTTAATCAGCTCCTTCATTTTATATTTATAACAACCCCATGAAGAAGTGCAGTCACTGAAACAGGGAAGATTTGATTTCATTTTGTCCCATCCTTGCTAATTTTTTAAAGATTTTTACCATTTATCCTCAACAAAATGGATTTCACTTGATAGGAAACAATAATACAGAGAGTCTGAATCTCTCTGACAATTAAACATGGTGGCATGTTTTAATAATAAACTGGCTTCTATTAGAGTTTAAATTTTACAATATAAATACAATTTGCTGTACTTAATTACAAAGGGAAGGGAGGAAATAAATATTACATAATTTATGTTTCTGTGCAGTTTGTTATTCATATTTGGCATTCATAAAATTGCAATTTTGGAAGCAATTTTTAATAAAAATAATGATTCGTTTTGTCTTCTAAATTAGAAGACTGCATTACTTAATGAGTATTTGAATGTGTTATTTTAATCAGTTTATCCATATTATATATATGATAAGCCCACACAAAAATTAGTGTTTGATTTGGCTTTTTCCTAACAATCTGGCATTTTTGAGAAAACAAAAATTGATTGAAACTTAACAGAGGTTAAGAGTCAAGAGATGAGAAGAGAAAATCTGAAATAATGAAGATAAAACATAGAGTTGGCCAGGCACGATGGCTCACGCCTGTAATCCCAGCACTTTGGGAGGCCAAGGCGGGCAGATCACCAGGTCAGGAGATTGAGGTCATCCTGGCCAACATGGTGAAACCCCGTCTCTACTAAAAACACAAAAAAATTAGCGGGCGTGGTGGCGGGCGTCTGTAGTCCCAGTTACTCGGGAAGCTGAGGCAGGAGAATGTCGTGAACCCAGGAGGCGGATCTTGCAGTGAGCCGAGATCACGCCACTGCACTCCAGCCTGGGCAACAGAGCGAGACTCCGTCTCAAAAAAAAAAAAAACATAAGAGTTAACCTCTTGATACTAGGTTCATGCAAATGACTTGCCAGGCCAATGAGAATTTAAAGACACAATGCAAAGACTTAAAATGGGTGGATATTGTTAACTTAAATAAAATCCAATTTATAAATTTAGAAAAAAGAGAAAAGGAGACTTTATTTTTTATAGTGTTACAGCCTGCAAGGTGGCCATTCTGACAAGCTGAGAAGCATAGCCTCTGGCCAGAAGCCAGAAACAAATATTTTATTGGGAGACAGTGGTGGGCAAAGGGAACAGGAATTTATGCTGAGTGGGGTGGCCACATATACTTATTTAATAAGGTATAGGAGGAGTCATGAATATTTATGAAAGGAGAAACGTGCACATGTGCAATTGTGCTTCATGCTTCTCCATGTTCAAAACTGGCAGTAATAGGAAGGTGTAGTTTTTGGCCCTCTGATGTCAAAAGGTAAAATAAAGGACATTAAACCTTTACTGCACATTCTCATAGACTGGCCAGAACCACTCCATAGTTTGGTGGTCTCTCTTTTTTTTTTTTCCCAAGAAGGAGTCTTGCTCTGCCACCCAGGCTGGAATGTAGTGGCACGATCTCAGCTCACTGCAATCTCCACCTCCCGAGTTCGAGCAATTCCCCTGCCTCAGCCTCCAGAGTAGCTAGGACTACAGGCATGTGCCATCATGCCCAGCTAATTTTTGTATCTTAAGTAGAGATGGGGTTTCACCACGTTAGCCAGGCTGGTCTCGATGGTGGTCTCTTACCAGGCAAAAAAGGAGGGGCAGTGTCAGGCAGTTGGTTGATAACAGTGGTGGCATTATTTGAAAGGGCTAGTTTCTGTTTAGCCTTTAGAGAAGAAAGCCTAACAGCAGTTAGCAAAGCTGCAAAGCTGCAGAGAGGGAATGAGGTGTGTCCAACCTCCTATCCTGACATGGCTGAGAACTCAGTTTCCAAGGTTACTCTGGGGTCTCTATGGCCAAGAGATGGTTTGTTCAGTCAGTTGGGGGACTTAGAGTTTTATACTTAGTTTACAGTATGCACAAGGTAGCTTGCACTCTTCCACTTTTGCCAATGACAGAACACACTCAGGTTAACCTAGTACAGAATGAGAGCCACATGGAGTACATATAAGTGTTCCAGTTGCTGCAGCAATGGGCGGCTTCAATCAGCCAACAGCCAGCTGATTCCCAGACATGTGAGCAAGCCCAGTCAAGATCAGTTGAACTTCCTCATCAACCCCCAGCTTTTCCCAGACAAAAGGGCAATAAACACATGCCTCCAAATTCTAGGCTAGTTTGTTATGTAGTAAAAGTAAAAAAAATAGCAGATAATTTGTGATTATCAGATATAATTTTTGGATATTCTGAAGTACAACTGGTACCCTTATTACAATAAAATAGACCTAATACTTAAGCACTAAAGGAGCCTACCCTCACAAAAAAAGTTATTAAAAAAATCATCTTCGTTTCAATTATTTTATATATATATATAGAAAACACAAGAGTTTCTCATGCATATATGAACATGTCAAATTTATGAAAACATATATATGTCTGTATATATATGTGAATACACAGATATGTCAAATTTATGAATACGTACATATTTATATGTATAGACAGCATCTACCACATCCCATGCACCATTTTAGGATATGGAAATGAACTAACCAGACAACATCTTGCCATTATAAAGTTGAAATTCTGGAGGTGGCATACTAATAATAAATAAATTAACATAAAATATGAAATAAGAGTCCAGGCATGGTGACTCAGGCCTATAATCCCAGCACTTTGGGAGGCTGAGGCAGGCAGATCACTGTAGGTCAGGAGTTTGAGCCCAGCCTGGTCAACATGGCAAAACCCCATCTCTACTAAAAATACAAAAATTACACGGGCATAGTTGTAGGTGCCTGTAATCCCAGCTACTCAGGAGGCTGAGGCAGGAAAGTCGCTTGAACCTGGGAGGCAGAGGTTGCAGTGAGCTGAGATCACGCCACTGGACTCCAGCCTAGGCGACAGAGTGATAATCTGTCTCAAAAAATAAAATAAAATAAAATACATGAAAAAAGTACCACAGATAAAATAAAGTAGGGTAAAGGGGACTGTGAGTTCTAAATGTGCAGTTATCAGGAAAGGCTTCACTGTAAGCTGAGATCTGAACAGAGACCTGAAGGAAATCAAGAACTGAGTCAGGTGGATGTTTGGAGGAAGAACATTACAGGGTGAAGCTCATTTGGCAAGCACAAAGAACTGCCATGTGCCTAGAGTGCAATGAGCAGCGGAGAGAAAAGAAGGAAATGAGTTCAGAGAGGCAGCTGCAGGCTAGGATAAGGATTTTGTTTTTTTAATCTAAACAAGATTGCATGCTATTAGAGGTTTTGAGAAAAAATTAACATGAGAATGAACTGTAGAAGCAAGGGAAGAAGCAAGTATACTGGTTAGCTTGCAGAAATCCAGCTAAGATCTTTAGACCAAATGTTAACATTAGAAGTGCTAAAAAGTTCTTGGAATCTGGATGTATTTTGAAGATAGATTCCACAGCACTTGCTGATGAACTGGGATTTGTGATTGAGAGTACCAGAGGAACTAAAACTGAAGGTTCTAAGAAACATGAAGAATGGAATTGTCGCTATTGAGACATGGAAGGCAGAGATCAGGATGTAAGAGGCAGGGATGGGATGAGTCAGGCAGTTGATTTTTTAGAAGCTCTTTTTTCTTTTTGTCTGTATTTTGATTTGTGTTTTTGAGAGACCTATTAACCACCCAAACAAAAATGTTTAATAGGCACTTAGATATACAAGTCTGAAGTTCAGGAAAGAAGTGCATGCTGTATATATACATTTGGAATGGAAAGCTAATAGTAGTAGTGCTCTAAAGTTCAGCTTAAGATTTGGTTTTGAGGAAAATTCTATTATTCAACTTTGGAAAAGTGAATATACTGAATGCTGCCATTATTTCTTGTACTTGTGAACAAGGAATTTGTCATCAAATCCTATTGGCATAACAAGGTAATAAAATAAGGCACACTATGTCAATATCAGGTCAATCCAGAGGGATAGGAAGCACACGGGGATTTAAACAGAAAAAGTTTAATATGAAGAATTATTAAACTATGATAAAAGAGTAACTCTAGGATATAAGAAAACTCTGTGCCATGCTCTAGGACTAAGATAGAGTACCTAACGAAGGACAAACTTGGAAGGGGGACTCTCCTTCCTAAGGTTGGGGTTCAGACCTTTGTGGAGAAAGTGAAGTTCAGTCTACTGGATGACAAAGAAGTTTGTCAGTTTGCCCAGACCAGAGCTGGTCTGTAGTTGGTGGGCAAGCAGGAAGCATCCTTTTGGAGTACAGGAAGGGCACAGAGGAGACACAGGTGGGACATAGGTGAGCATAGCTAGGCACGTGAGCATGTAGAAGGAATGGGGTTTCCGATGCAGGAGAGGGCTTGGAGCCCACATTGCCCATGAGGTGAGCCACTGCCCAGAGCAAGGTATGCAGACATGCAGAGGGAATGGGGAGCTGGGGCACAGACTAATGACAGCTAGTGGGGCTAGACAAATGGGCATGCAGAGGGAAAGAAGCCATGGCATGGCAGAAGGCCCTGGAGCACAAAGTGCCTATGTCAGGAGTACCATGGGAAACAGATCTGGGATATGGATGTGCAAAGGGAGAAATAAGAGTGTCAGTGTGGAAAAGTAGGCTTGATCTTGTGGTGGTCTATATTGAAAGGGCAGCAGGAAACTAATCACCAGAACCATAAAGGGCTGTGAGATTGCTGAGGGCCTGTA
This sequence comes from Homo sapiens, assembly GCF_000001405.40. Taxonomy (NCBI): domain Eukaryota; kingdom Metazoa; phylum Chordata; class Mammalia; order Primates; family Hominidae; genus Homo; species Homo sapiens. The sequence continues at coordinate 97,771,964 of NC_000004.12, forward strand.
CATTCTGAATGGATGGCTGCAGATGCACACTACCCATACCACTGACCCACCATGCAGCAGCCAGAAACTGGAGAGCCCCTTCCTCCTGAAATGTCCCTTCAGCACCCTCTGCTGAGAAAACACAACATCATGCTCATTGTCAAGGAGAAATTCTTAAAAGGAATTTGGTCCATTTGAAGAGCATGTATTAAAAGGTAAATTTTGGAGCTAAGAGGCAATAAATTGAGAGCTGGGATATATGCCATTAAGATTTATAATTAATATCTGAATGACTACTCTCAGGTAAGCATTCTAGAAATAACTTTTAGTAAAATTCACTATGTGTAACATATGTTGAAATCGTATCAATCAAAATTTAATTGTATGTTTATTGTTGCAAGACTAAGAAATGATTGTACAATTTGTAATGGTTTATACAAAACAATTATTAAGAACTGTCAGTTTTTAATGTAAATAGTGAATATACTGACAGTCAATACCCTTTTTACCAGAGAGTTTGTTAGGCAGATAACTTTAGGAAGAATAAATCCTTTTTTAACAATAAAGGCTTATCAAAATTTAAACAATAAATCAAAAAACAGTATTTGTATATAAGCTTACATTGTAATTTTTGTAAAATGTTTGCTGTCTTAGCTTCAAAACATTAATCAAATAACCTCTCAGTATATATTTATTTTGTAGTCATTTAATTTTATTTAGACCATGAGTCCTACAAGAAAAAGTTCTATCTGGTAATTCTTCTCAAAATTATAACAATAAAATAAAAACAGAATTATCAACTTTGTTACCTCAAAATTTAATCAAAAAGAAAACATCCAAAAGTAAATTAATCTATTTTCAATTGTCTTCTACTAAACATAACACAGGATATAAACATAAATAAAATGTTAGAGAGACAGGTGGAAATTCAGAGACAACTTGTCATTTTGGAAGCCTGTACCATTGCTGTATTTTTAGATCCAAGGGTGGAAAGGTTAAAGATAATTTATTCTCAACTGATATTGTGAAGTAGCAGGTGTAGGCAACAATTTTAAATTTTAAATTGTTGCTTACACAACAATATTCAAAAAGAGCTATGTATTTTACATTAATGAAATTGTATCATCACTCCTTTTATATTACGTCAACAAACATTTTTATATGCCTTTTCTATTTTATGCTTTCTTAGTTTCAAGCTCACTTTTAATTTCCTTTCAGAAATAATTCTTTCCTATTTTCTTTTTTATAAAACACAGTAGTGAACTCCATGATAGAAATTGACTGTACCTTTAATCATGAATTTATTGGATTCAAAACCAAATTACATTATTGGTGCTATTTCTAATATGTACATTGAAATTACTGTATAATTTATTATTATTATTATTATTTTTACAGACAGGGTCTTATTCTGTTGCCCAGATTGGAGTGCAGTGGTGGAATCATAGCTCGCTGCAGACTCAAACTCCTAAGCTCAAGCAATTCTTCTGCCTTAGCCTCTTAAGTAGCTAAGTGCATGCCCCCATGCCTGGCTAAATGTTTTTTCTTTTTAACAGCTGGAATCTCACTATATTGTCTAGACAGGTCACAGACTCATGAGCTCAAGTAATCTCCCCACCTCAGCCTTCCAAAGTGTTGAGATTACAGGCATGAGCCACCACACCCAGCCTGCTTTTAAATAAATAGAAAATATGTTGGCAAAAATAGTCACATTTTATCCTAAAATTACTATACTGTATTTATACTTTGAAAAGTTCAACTAAAAAGCCAAAACATCAATTTTATAAACATTTATATAATATTAAGCATTGCAAGGTGATGTAGGAAATGCAAGGAAGAATAATATAGCACAATGCCCCACCCCTAAATTTCTCACAACCCATTGAGGAAAGATAGGCACAAATAAACTATTAAAAATATCAGAAAGCTTGGCATGACGATACATGCCTGTAGTCCCAGCTACTTGTGAGGCTGAGGAGGGAGGATTTATGGAGCCCAGGGCTTCAAGTCCAACCTGGGTAACATGGCAAGACTCTGCCTCTAAAATATAGGGTGTGTGTGTGTGTGTGTGTGTGTGTGTGTGTCAGAAAGACTGCAATAAATGCCACAGTGGACCTTCAGTAATTATATTCCTCCCATTTTAAGCAAACTGGTCTTTTATTTACAAAAATTTCTTTAAAGATAAGCTTTTGCTTATTAAGCACTTTGTAGCAGTCCTCAAGATTTGTATTCTATTACGTATGATATAGTAATTGTAACTTATTCTTGGAGTAACTTCAGTTCTCTTTATATTACTTTGTGGATTACCTACCCTTTTGAGTTTTAAGTAAATTTGGCATAAAACCATATTTCACAATGTCTGGGGTACAGGACCTTCTTACCATCTCTGGAAATTTTAGGACTTAATTCCTTATAATTCTGTTTTTATGGCCCAGTGAACCATTTTATTTTCTTCAGCCTCATCACTCCTCCTCCTCAAGTCAAAACCAACAAATAAACAGTTTGACCACAACTCGGTTGTACCATTTTGTGGCTTGCCTAAGAAATTCACTCACACCAAGCATATCATGGTTATATTCTTGCTAAAATGGTTAGGTGAGGTTTACAGTAAGGAGTAGGATGCAAATCAGGGTGCCTGCTGTTGTCCACAACTTCACTGCTGTCTTTTGCTTTCTCTTGGTGGTACTTTGTTCACTCTAACAGTTAGGATTAGGTTTGGGTGAGTATATCTGAAAACCCAGAAGAAAAGTGAATTTTAACTCATTCTCACACACACACAAAATCAGCAGTATAGGATCATAGTGTTGGCTCCACACTAGTGAAGAACCCATCTCCTTTCCATCCTCCTTTCCCACAATACACAGTACTTATCTTCTAACCTCAAAACCACATAAGACTGTAAAAATGGCTACTGAGGTTCCAGGGAGAAGAAAAAAGAGGTGGAAGGTGCAAAGTGCATCCTCTGCCAGCTGTCTGTCTCCACTTTGAGGAGTCTTCCCATATGACCGGCTCAGTGATGTCCAAACACAGGCAATGGTTACACCTGGCTATGACTGACCACTAGGTTTGTAGTCTTTTAGCTGGATGAATAGTCTTTTGAATAGAATTAAATTCTGATTACCGGAAATTGAAATGTAGTCAGTCTATCCTATTTACCATCCTGTTGTGATAAAAAGGGCGCATAAATAGAAAGGAATGTAAAGCATATGATAGAGAAAGGGTAGATTACTGGGAATAATAAAAAGAGATGAAGGAAAGTAAATATGGCCCTTGGAGAGTAGCATTGCAATGTAAAGAGAAATTAACTGAGGGATGAAGGTGAAGAGAATAGGATAAAAACAGAGGCTACACGTGCACAACGTGCAGGTTTGTTACATATGTATACATGTGCCATGTTGGTGTGCTGCACCCGTTAACTTGTCATTTACATTAGGTAAATCTCCTAATGCTATCCCTAGAAATTAAAGTATAATTTTAAAAAATGCAAAAATAAATAAATAAATAAAAATAAAATAAAAACAGAGGCAATTATTTATTCACCTTCTATTTACCAAACACTACACTTGGTTACTGAATGTACAATGGCAAACAAGAGAGATACAATCTCTGCCTCTATGAAATTCATATTCTAGTACTTTGAGAGCAATGAAAGCACAATGTGTCTAAATTGTTAGTTGGAGGACCAGCCACAGAATAAATTGGCCTCAATATTTTAAAATATTCACAACAAAGCAAAACAAATCCTCAAACTGTCACTAAAACTTTAGCAGAGGAAGAGACTTTAAAATTGCTAGTGGGAGCAATATGGTAAAGAAATCAGTATTGATTATTATTATTATTTTTAAAACAGAGTCTTACTCCAAGGCTAGAGTTCAGTGGCACAGTCTTGGCTCATTGCAACCTCTGCCTCCCAGGTTCCAGTGATCCTCCTGCCTCAGCCTCCTGGGTACCTGGGATTACAGGTATGCACCACCATGCCTAGCTAATTTTTGTATTTTTAGTAGAGATGGGGTTTCACCACATTGACAAGACTGGTCTCGAACTCCTGACCTCACATGACCTCCCCACCTCGGCCTCCCAAAGTGCTGGGATTACATGCATGAGCTACTGCATCCAGCTAATTATTACTGTTTTAAAATATGCAAAATATCATTGATGGTTTTAATTTTTGAATGCTGTTTGTATTTCAGTAAAAATTTTTAAAAGGAATTAACTATATTCATTTTACATGTATGTATATACACATAAATTGTACTTTTACACATATATATTTAAATGTACTAGGAACATTATTATAAGTTAAACCTATAAGGTAGGCACTAATAGTATCATGAAATTTTACAGATGACAATATTGAATAACAATTTATTGGGTAATAACTTTGCCCATGGTCACACAACCAATAAGTAACAAAGCTGAGATTCAATTCTGGAAGTCTGGTTCCAAAGTCTGTACTTGTAACCAACTCATTATGCTTCCCCTCCATTGCCTATTCATTGTCTCCTTTAACTTATTTTCCACTCCCATTACTTTAATTTTATTAGAAATAAATATTCTTTAACCTCAGGAACTATAAAGAGGCTATTCTCTAAACAAAATATTACAGCGAGATGAATGGATTAGGGAGAACAGTAAAGAGAACAAAGTTCCATTTGATGAGATCTGTCTAGTGTTCGGAAGAAGTGGCATTTAATATGGTATTGGAATGATAGGTGAAATTTTAATAGGAAATGTGGACAGAAGGACATTGCCTATAGGAAAGACAAATATTCTTAAAAAGCACTAAAGCCATTAATATCTACTATGTACTTTAATAAAATTGAATAGATAAATCACAGAAAGATAATCTCTGAAAAATCTCCAAAACTAGAAAATGTTCTTTATTACTATTGCCTTCTGTTTTTCAGTATAGTGGGATTTGAAGAAGCAACACTGTGAAACTAAAAGAGCACTGCAGTGCATGCCAAAAATCTACAATTTTTTGCTGGTTTCCTTCCGTTTACTAATTTTAGGAGTAATAGGAGAATAATAATGTCAATCTATGCTGCCTACCTCACAAGTTTCTTTTAAGAATTAAAAGAGATTTTAAGTACTTTGAAAACTATTAAGTACTATACAAATATATTAGGTTGTGATGATTAATCACTATTATACAGGAGCTCAGTAAATAATATTTACAGGATGGTTAAAATGCACTTCGTACTGAAAAATCCATCCAAGAAAAACTTCACAAAAATGCAGTAACAGATGTTCCTATTTAGTTAAAGGAGAGAATACTGTTAGGCCTTCAGCTTATAGCTTATACTTAAATTGTAACAACAACAGCTTGTTTAGGTTTGTCAGTTTTTTCTCTGTCGATTTTTAGCCAATATTATACCATAAAATCATCTCTTTCTTTAAATTAGACAGAAAGGTCTTATTCTGATGCGACTTTAAAAACTGATCCAAGGGGAAATTTAAGCATGCCTCCCAGGCAGCATAAAATTGAGCCAAAAATTCCAATTCCTATCAGGAATCTCTCATACAGACTCTATGCTATAAGAAAAGCAATGCAGTTTTCTGGACCACCACAAGATTTTCCCAGCCATGTTGCTATACCTGGTTCTATTAGCTCTAGGGAATGGACAAAAGGATTGCAAAATCAATGAAAAACTTTCAGTTTCTTACCTTCTTATTTCATATAAAAGCTACTCCTTGGTTGGTTTTACAGTCAAATGTATGAAGTATTATAAATCCCTACCGTTCTGTTGCATAAAAAGATAAATTCAGTTAACTTCTCTATTCTAGATTTCATTATTTTAGATTAGATACTTTGAGCCCTAATACTTGCTTTAACTAGGATAAAAATCATTGCTCTTCAGTTGTTTCATTCATAGTGGATTAACCATTCTACTTTATTTCTCATATTATATCTCTGATAGAGTATCAAACTGAGATATCAAATTACTATCTATCAATGTTCTGCTTTTAGAATCTATCAATCAGGGGGGTGGTTCCAAGATGGCCGAATAGGAACAACTCCAGTCTACAGCTCCCAGCATGAGCGACACAGAAGACAGGTGATTTCTGCATTTCCAAATGAGGTACTGGGTTCATCTCGCTGGGGTTCGTCAGACAGTGGGGACAGGACAGTGGGTGCAGCCCACCGAGCATAAGCCAAAGCAGGGTGAGGCATCGACTCACCTGGGAAGCGCAAGGGGTCAGGGAATTCCCTTTCCCAGCCAAAGGAAGGGGTGACAGACAGCACCTGAAAAATCGGGTCAATCCCACCCTAATACTGTGCTTTTCCAATGGTCGTAGCAAAGGGCACAAGAGGAGATTATATCCCATGCCTGGCTCGGAGGGTCCCATGCCTGGCTCGGAGGGTCCCATGCCCACGGAGCCTCGCTCATTCCTAGCACAGCAGTCTGAGATCGAATGGCAAGGTGGCAGCGAGGCTGGGGGAGGGGCGTCCAACATTGCTGAGGCTTGAGTAGGTAAACAGCAGCCAGGAAGCTTGTACTGGGTGGAGCCCACCTTAGCTCAAGGAGGACTGCCTGCCTCTGTAGACTCCACCTCTACGGGCAGGGCATAGCTGAACAAAAGGCAGCAGGAACCTCTGCAGACTTAACTGTCCCTGTCTGACAGCTTTGAAGAGAGTAGTGGTTCTCCCAGCATGGAGTTTGAGATCACGGAATGGACAGACTGCCTCCCCAAGTGGGTCCCTGACCCCCGAGTAGCCTATCTGGGAGGCACCCCCAGTAGGCGCAGACTGACACCTCACACGGCTGGGTACTACTCTGAGACAAAGCTTCCAGAGGAACAATCGGGCAGCAACATTTGCTATTCAGCAATATTCGCTGTTCTGCAGCCTCTGCTACTGATCCCCAGGCAAATAGAGCCTGGAGTGGACCTCCAGCAAACTCCAACAGACCTGCAGCTGAGGGTCCTGTCTGATAGAAGGAAAACTAACAAACAGAAAGGACATCCACACCAAAACCCCATCTGAACGTCACCATCATCAAAGATCAAAGGTAGATAAAACCACAAAGATGGGGAAAAAAACAGAGTAGAAAAGCCGAAAATTCTAAAAATCAGAGCACCTCCTCCCCTGCAAAGGAACACAGCTCCTCACCAGCAATGGAACAAAGCTGGGTGGAGAATGGTTTTGATGAGTTGAGAGAAGAAGTCTTCAGACGATCAAACTTCTCCGAGGTAAAGGAAGAAAGTCGAACCCAACCCAAAGAAGCTGAAAACCTTGAAACAAGATTAGATGAATGGCTAACTAGAATAACCAGTGTAGAGAAGTCCTTAAATGACCTGATGGAACTGAAAGCCATGGCATGAGAACTACATGACAAATGTACAAGCTTCAGTAACCGATTCGATCAACTGGAAGAAAGGGTATCAGTGATTGAAGATCAAATGAATGAAATGAAGTGAGAAGAGAAGTTTAGAGAAAAAAAGGGTAAAAAGAAATGAACAAAGCCTCCAAGAAATACACGACTATGTATAGACCAAATCTATATCTGATCGGTGTACCTGAAAGTGATGGGGAGAATGGAACCAAACTGGAAAACACTCTGCAGGATATTATCCAGGAGAACTTCCCCAACCTAGCAAGGCAGGCCAACATTCAAATTCAGGACATACAGAGACCACCACAAAGATACTCCTCAACAAGAGCAACTCCAAGACACATAATTGTCAGTTTCACCAAAGTTCAAATGAAAGAAAAAATATTAAGGGCAGCCAGAGAGAAAGATCGAGTTACCCACAAATGGAAGTCCATCAGACTAACAGCGGATAACTCAGCAGAAACTCTACAAGCCAGAAGAGAGTGGGGGCCAATATACAACGTTCTTAAAGAAAAGAATTTTCAACCTAGAAATTCATATCCAGCCAAACTAAGCTTCATAAGTGAAGGAGAAATAAAATCCTTTACAGACAAGCAAATGCTGAGAGATTCTGTCACCACCAGGCCTGCCCTAAAAGAGCTCCTGAAAGAAGCACTAAACATGGAAAGGAACAACCGGTACCAGCCACTGCAAAAACATGCCGAACTGTAAAGAACATCGATGCTAGGAAGAAACTGCATCAATAACGAGCAAAATAACCAGCTAACATCAGAATGACAGGATCAAATTCACACATAACAATATTAACCTTAAATGTAAATGGGCTAAATGCTCCAATTAAAAGACACAGACTGACAAACTGGATAAAGAGTCAAGACCCATCAGTGTGCTGTATTCAGGACACCCATCTCACATGCAGAGACACACAGAGGCTCAAAATAAAGGGATGGAGGAAGATCTATGAAGAAAATGGAAAACAAAAAAAGGCAGGGGTTGCAATCCTAGTTTCTGATAAAACAGACTTTAAAACAACAAAGATCAAAAGACACAAAGAAGGCCATTACATAATGGTAAAGGGATCAATTCAACAAGAAGAGCTAACTGTCTTAAATATATATGCACCCAATACAGGAGCACCCAGGTTCATAAAGCAAGTCCTTAGAGACCTACAAAGAGACTTAGACTCCCACACAATAATAATGGAAGACTTTAACACCCCACTGTCAACATTAGACAGATCAACGAGACAGAAAGTTAACAAGGATATCCAGGAATTGAACTCAGCTCTGCAACAAGTGGACCTAATAGACATCTGCAGAATGCTCCACCCCAAATCAACAGAATATACATTCTTCTCAGCACCACATCACACTTATTCCAAAATTGACCACAGAGTTGGAAGTAAAGCACTTCTCAGCAAATGTAAAAGAACAGAAATTATAACAAACTGTCTCTCAGACCACAGTGCAATCAAACTAGAACTCAGGATTAAGAAACTCACTCAAAACTGCTCAACTACATGGAACCTGAACAACCTGCTCCTGAATGACTACTGGGTACATAAGGAAATGAAGGCAGAAATAAAGATGTTCTTTGAAACCAACGAGAACAAAGACACAACATACCAGAATCTCTGGGACACATTTAAAGCAGTGGGTAGAGGGAAATTTATAGCACTAAATGCCCACAAGAGAAAGCGGCAAAGATCTAAAATTGACACCCTAACATCAAAATTAAAAGAACTAGAGAAGCAAGAGCAAACACATTCAAAAGCTAGCAGAAGGCAAGAAATAACTAAGATCAGAGAAGAACTGAAGGAGATAGAGACACAAAAAAACCCTTCAAAAAAATCAATGAATCCAGGAGCTGGTCTTTTGAAAAGATCAAGAAAATTGATAGACCGCTAGCAAGACTAATGAAGAAAAGAGAGAAGAATCAAATAGATGCAATAAAAAACGATAAAGGAGATATCACCACTGATCCCACAGAAATACAAACTACCATCAGAGAATACTATAAACACCTCTACGCAAATAAACTAGAAAATCTAGAAGAAATGGCTAAATTCCTGGACACATACACCCTCCCAAGACTAAACCAGGAAGAAGTTGAATCCCTTAATAGACCAATAACAGGCTCTGAAATTGAGGCAATAATTAATAGCCTACCAACCAAAAAAAGTCCAGGACCAGATGGATTCACAGCCGAATTCTACCAGAGGTACAAGAAGGAGCTCATAACCAATCCTTCTGAAACTATTCCAATCAATAGAAAAAGAAGAAATCCTCCCTAACTCATTTTATGAGGCCATCATCATCCTGATACTAAAGCCTGGAAAAGACACAACAAAAAAAGAGAATTTTAGACCAATATCCCTGATGAACATCAATGCAAAAATCATGAATAAAATACTGGCAAACCAAATCCACCAGCACATCAAAAAGCTTATCCACCATGATCAAGTGGGCTTCATCCCTGGGATGCAAGTCTGGTTCAACATAGGCAAATCAATAAACGTAATCCAGCATATAAACAGAACCAAAGAAAAAAACCACAGGATTATCTCAATAGATGCAGAAGAGGCCTTTGACAAAATTCAACAGCCCTTCATGCTAAAAACTCTCAAGAAATTAGGTATTGATAGGCCGTATCTTAAAATAATAAGAGCTATTTATAACAAACCCACAGCCAATATCATACTGAATGGGTGAAAACTGGAAGCATTCCCTTTGAAAACTGGCACAAGACAGGTTGCCCTCTCTCACCACTCCTATTCAGCATAGTGTTGGAAGTTCTGGCCAGGGCAATCAGGCAGGAGAAATCAATAAAGGGTATTCAATTAGGAAAAGAGGAAGTCAAATTGTCCCTGTTTGCAGATGACATGATTGTATATTTAGAAAAGCCCATCATCTCAGCCCAAAATCTCCTTAAGCTGATAAGCAACTTCAGCAAAGTCTCAGGATACAAAATCAATGTGCAAAAATCACAAGCATTCTTATACACCAATAACAGACAGAGAGCCATATCATGAGTGAACTCCCATTCACAATTGCTTCAAAGAGAATAAAACACCTAGGAATCCAACTTACAAGGGATGTGAAGAACCTCTTCAAGGAGAACTACAAACCACTGCTCAACGAAATAAAAGAGGACACAAACAAATGGAAGAACATTCCATGCTCATGGATAGGAAGAATCAATATTGTGAAAATGGCGATACTGACCAAGGTAATTTACACATTCAATGCCATCCCCATCAAGCTACCAATGACTTTCTTCACAGAATTCAAAAAAAACTACTTTAAAGTTCATGTGAAACGAAAAAAGCGCCTGCATTGCCAAGACAATCCTAAGCCAAAAGAAGAAAGCTAGAGGCATCATGCTACCTGACTTCAAACTTTACTACAAGCCTCCAGTAACCAAAACCACATGGTACTGGTACCAAAACACAGATATAGACCAATGGAACAGAAGAGAGCCATCAGAAATAATATCACACATCTACAACCATCTGATCTTTGACAAACCTGACAAAAACAAGAAATGGGGAAAGGATTCCCTATTTAATAAATGGTGCTGGGAAAACCGGCTAGCCATATGTAGAAAGTTGAAACTGGATCCCTTCCTTACACCTTATACAAAAATTAATTCAAGATGGATTAAAGACTTCAATGTTAGACCTAAAACCATAAAAACCCTAGAAGAAAACCTAGGCAATACCATTCAGGACATAGGCATGGGCAAGGACTTCATGTCTAAAACATCAAAAGCAATGGCAACAAAAGCCAAAATTCACAAATTGGATCTAATTAAATTAAAGAGCTTCTGCACAGTGAAAGAAACTACCATCAGAGTGAACAGGCAACCTACAGAATGGGAGAAAATTTTTGCAATCTACTCATCTGACAAAGGGCTAATATCCAGAATCTACAAAGAACTCAAACAAATTTACAAGAAAAAACAACCGCATCAAAAAGTGGCCAAAGGATATGAACAGCCACTTCTCAAAGAAGACATTTATGCAGCCAACAGACACATGAAAAAATGTTCATCATCACTGGCCATCAGAGAAATGCAAATCAAAACCAAGATGAGATAACATCTCACACCAGTTAGAATGGCGATCATTAAAAAGTCAGGAAACAATAGGTGCTGGAGAGGATTTCGAGAAATAGGAACACTTTTACACTGTTGGTGGCACTGTAAACTAGTTCAACCATTGTGGAAGACAGTGTGGCAATTCCTCAAGGATCTAGAACTAGAAATACCATTTGACCCAGCAATCCCATTACTGGGTATATACCCAAAGGATTATAAATCATGCTGCTATCAAGGCACATTCACATATATGTTTACTGCGGCACTATTCACAATAGCAAAGACTTGGAATCAATCCAAATGTCCATCAGTGATAGACTGGATTAAGAAAATGTGGCACATACCCCATGGAATACTATGCAGCTATAAAAAAGGATGAGTTCACATCCTTTGTAGAGACGTGGATGAAGCTGGAAACCATCATTCTCAGTAAACTATCACAAGGACAAAAAACCAAACACCGCATGTTCTCACTCATAGGTGGGAACAATGCGAACACTTGGACACAGGAAGCGGAACATCACACACTGCGGCCAGTCATGGGGTGGGGGGAGAGGGGAGGGAAAGCATTAGGAGACATACCTAATGTAAATGACGAGTTAATGGGGGCAGCACACCAACATGGCACATGTATACATATGTAACAAACCTGCACGTTGTACACATGTACCCTAGAACTTAAAGTATAATTAAAAAAAAAAAAAGAAAAAGAAAAAGGAAATCAGAAAGTATCTGGAACCAAATAAAAATAAAAACACTCAGCCTAGGCAACAACAACAACAAAAAAGAATCTATCAATCAGCCAAAAATGAAGATTATATGCTATATCTGTGGCCTATTCCTTATTTATAAAATTAAAATTTAATTGCATTAAATTAGGTCTAAAATAATAGAACATCTCCATAGTTTGGAATATTTTCTAAGTGTAAAAAATTCTACTTTTTACTAAAAGACTATTTGTTACTTTTTCTAAACCAAAGTTTCTTGATTCACTTTCAAATTGCCTTAGCCAATTATTTATAACATTTCACTATTAGAGATCTGAATATGGTGTTTATCTTGCTATAGTAATGCTGTGATATTGAATATGGGAAAAAATCACTAAGGGAATTAAGACACCAAGATACAGTGCCAAAAAAACTTTCCTTCGTCATTTCTGAATATTTTTTGTCCCAAATGAAACAAGTATAAATGGTAGTAGTAAAAAAGAAAAAAAAGTAGAAAAGTATAGTTCTATATTGAATCAGTAGGAATACAGCAGAAACTTGACTCTGGGATATTTTGCCCTATTATTCAATGATACATGTTGCTTAATATTACTATAGTATTACAAAGAAAAAAAACACTAAAAATTAACATAGAAAATAATATTTATATAAGTTTGGTCTTATAATCAATTGGAAATGATTAAAGAGAACTATATAATGAGTTAATCTATGCATGAATTCTTGTTAGATGTTTTAGTCTGTTCTCATACTGCTAATAAAGATGTACCTGAGACTGAGAAGTCTTATGAGAATTACATCTATAATTTCTGGCAAAATTTAATCTTTCTGTATCTCTTCAAAGAACCACCAACTATAAAAGTGTTTTTAAAGAATTCTGCCTGAGATGCTTTTGAGCTTTCTAATTAAAGATAAAATGTTTTACATGTGAAAAGATAGAGGTGCTACAATTTTCTTATACTTTTCTGTACCTTGCCTAGATAACAAAAATATATATCTTTTAAAATAAAAGCAGCATAATTTTACTAGTCTTTCAAGTATGTTATAATTGTACTGTCATATAATATTTTTCCAGTAAGAAATTTTTGATAATAGAAATTAAATGAAAACCAAATTTGGCATATATTTAAAAACTGTTCACCTAGAAGTATATATACCCTAGACAGTAGGTATTGTGAAATGCAATAACAATTCCAAGTCATTTTAATATATTATAAAGATGTACTAAGTCAAAACACGAGAAAGTAATTACAGTCTATTTTTATTAGAGGGTTTCCCTTTACAGTGTCGTACCACTTACTTTTACCACCATTAAAAGAATGATTTCATGTCATTGATATAAGTTTCCCCAAGCATCTTCTATTTCAAATTATACAATAATTTGTAGTAAAATATAATTGTATATACGTTTGTGTTCATACAATGAAGAAGGTGATGACTAGAATAGGAGATTGGATCTCTTTAAAAGTTTTGTTCAAATGTTATAGTGGTTATGACAGAAAGATAAATGTGAAGAAGAAAATGGAAGAAGATAAAAGTAAAACATGTATCAGGATATAAAAAATAAAACACAAGAACAAAACAAAAACAACAACAAAAATATCTTCGTTCCCACCTGGCTCCAGACCTCCGATAACTGCTTTAGGTTATAGAAATACTTTGATTAGCTGCTTAGAGTTGGAAAGAGAAAACTCAATAGGCATAATCTTTATGAAGACCATAAAAAGAAGACATGGCAAAAAAAAAACTATATGAGTTTAAGAGGGATGTGTGGAGTATGAGAATCAGCAGGGAGAGTAAGGAGTGAAGCTCCAAGAAAGGAGCTACTCAACTTAGTGTCGGTGAGAGTTGCTACCATAGCTGTGGCTAAAGAATCAAATAACGTTTAAGAACACAGGTGTCTAATATTCAATTTTTAAAAATCAACTCTGAGCTATGATTTACACACAATAAAACATTTGCCACTTTAATAAGTTTTGACAAGCTTATATATAACAATCAAGATATAGAATATTTCTACCACCCCAAAAAAGTTTCCTTGTGTCACTTTCTAGCCAATCACCCTTTCCCTGCCATAGACATGAGTTTGCCAATTAAAAAAAAAAAAATCTTACCAGGATTTGGATTCAAATTGCTTTGAATTTAGAATAGAATTTTCATTTTAATAATATTATGCTTTCCAATGTATAACATGGTATATCTCTCAATTAATTTACTTTCTTAATTTTTTTCAGTGATCTTCTTTAGTTTTTATTGTTCAGATTTTGTATATTTTTCATTAAGTTCTACTCTAAAGAGTCGACATTTTTGATGTTGTCATAAGTCACATTTTAAATTTCAGTTTTCAGTCTTTGCATTGCTAGCAAGTTCAAATGCAGTAGCTCTCCCTTAGTGCAGTTTCACTTTCTGTGGTTGCAGTCACTTGCAGTCAAGTGTAGTCTGAAAATATTACATGAAAATTTTCAGAAATAAACAACGCATCCATTCTAAATTATACACTGTTCGGAGTAGGGTGAAAGAGTTTAAAGAACTCTGCATGAAATCTCATACCATCCTGCTCCATTCCAGGGTAGGTGAATCATCTCTTTGTCCAATGCATTCATGCTATACAGGCTAATATGCCACTCACCTGTTGGTCACTTAGTAACCATCTCTTTGTCCAATGCATTCATGCTACACAGGCTAATATGCCACTCACCTGTTGGTCACTTAGTAACCATCTCAGTTATCAAATTGACTATGGCAGCATTGCTCTACTTTATTATTAACTATTGTTGTTAATCTCTTACTGTGGAAATTTATAAATTAAACTATATATAGGTATGTATCTATAGGAAAAAACATAGTATAGTATAGGTACATTCCAGTACTGCCCATGGTTTCAGGCATCCACTGGAGGTTTTGGAACGTATCTTCCTGGATTAGAGGAGACTACTGTATTCCGATGTTTTATTTGACCTTTCATCCTGTGAACCTGTGGAATTTACTAATTAGTTCTAGCAGCTTCTTTTTAGATCTCTTGAGATTTACTACATACAAAATCGTATCATGTGCAAATAAAGACAGTTTAATCATCCTGTGAATATTTCGTACTTTTTTTTTCTTTTGTGCCTGGGTTAGACCCTCACATAAAACGATGGATAACAATGGTGAGAGTGGGCATTCCTGCCATATTCCCAATTTATCATATTGAGGAAGACTACTTCTATTCCTAATTTGCTGAGAATTTTTAATATTAATCAGAGTTGAATTCTGTTAAATGCCTTTTTCGCCCCTATGCTCATCGGTTTTTATTTTCTTTTACTCCATTAGTATGTTAAATTGCATTGATTTATTTTCAATTGTTAAACAACCTCACATTTCAGGGATCCATGACTTGATGTGAATATATTTAACCTTTTTATATTAAGCTAAATTCAACTTGATATTTTGTTAAAGATTTTGTGTCTGTTCGTGAGAGATACTAATTTGTAGTTTTCTTATATTGTAATCTATCTGTATGGCTTTATTATTCAGGAAATGCTGGCCTCATTAAAAGGTTAAGTAATATTTTCTTCTTTGTCATTTATAAAAAATTAGTAGAATCTCTATTTTTTGCTTCTTAAATGTTTATGCTTGATATGTTCTTATCAGATAACTTTTAATGAAGAATTCAATTTATTTGGTAAATACAGAACTGAACTACTCAGATTTTCTAATTTTTTTGAGATAGCTCAGTAACTTATGTATCTTGACGAATTTAGCTATTTTATATAAGCTGTCAAATTCTTTGGCAACTAGATATTGACATATAGCTATTCCTAATATTCATTCTTATCTTTTTAATTATATTTTTAATTTTTCTGGGTACATAGTAGGTGTATAGATTTATGGGGTACATAACACAGTTTGATGCAAACACACAATGTGTAATAATCACATCAGAGTAAGTGGAGTATCCATCACCTCAAGCATTTATCCTTTCTTTTTGTTACAAACAATCCAATTAGACTCTTAGTTATTTTAAAAGTGTACAATACATTATTGTTGACTATGATCACCTCGTTGTGCTATCAAAAACTAGATCTTTTCTATCTAACTGTATTTCTGTACCCATTAACCATCCCCGCTTCCCCTATGACCCACTACCCTTCCCAGCCTCTGGTAACCATCATTCTACTCTCTATTTCTATGAATTCAATTGTTTTAATGTTTAGCTCCCACAAATAAGTGACAACATGCAGTCTGTCTTTCTTTGCCTGGCTTATTTCACTTAACATAATGTTCTCTAGCTCCATTCATGTTGTTGCAAATGACAAGATCTCATTCTTTTTCATGGCTGAGTAGTACTCCATCAGGTACATGTACCACATTTTCTTTATCCATTCATCTGTTGATGGACACATAGGTTCCTTCCAAATCTTGGCTATTGTGAACAGTGCTGCCATAAACATCACAGTACAGATATCTCTTTGATATAATGATTTCCTTTCTTTTGGGTATATATCCAGCAGTGGGACTGCTAGATCATATAGTAGTTCTATTTTCAGTTTTTTAAGGAACCTCCAAACTGTTCTCCATAGTAGCTATACTAATTTATATTCCCACCAACAGTGTACAAGGGTTCCCTTTTCTCTATATCCTTGCTAGCATTCTTGCTTTTTTAATGTGTGCAGAACATATAAGATGCCCACTTTTTAATTCCTGATATTATATAGTTTTTGTTAATTCAATTTTAAAATATTTATTGTTATACAGAAATACAGACATGTTTTGTTCGATATATCCTTTGTATCTTTTTAGTGTGTGTCTTCTTCTTGTCTTGAACGTAAATAAAGAATTAACAATTTTACTAACTCTTAAAAATAATTAGTCTTTCATTTTATTTTTCAGTATCACTTTTTGTTCCATTGGGTTTCAAACTTTTTTTTTCTTTTCTAATACAAATGTTAAAAACTGATGATATGCAGAATGGTACATGGGAAAATCACTGATTTTGAAGTTAAGACAGACCCAGGTTCCAAGCTTGATATTACTAGTTTATAGCTATGTTACTATTTCTTGCTTTCTTCATCATAAAATGGAGAAAATGTTACCTTTCTCATAGGATAGTTGGGGAAATTAAGAGAAAAAAAGAGGTATACCTAGCTTCTTAGTTATTTTGATTATGGTATTCAAATAAAATGTGCCTCATCAAAAACTAAAATACTCATATATCAATTTTCTTAATTTTTATACTAATAAAAATATAATGAAGGAGAAATTATAACTAATATAGCATTCGCAATATGCAGGTGTTTCATCACCTAGAACATAACATTTTCTAAAGCCAAACATAAAAAAGTTAAGAGTAATTTCAGTCTATTTCAAGACTTCTCTCCTTTTGCCTCTTGGTTTCCATTAACTAGGGAAAATCAATTTACAATTGTTATAGTCTTTTCTTCGATCTACATTTTACATCATCACATCTATCAGTGATAAACTGTAAGTGCCATACACTTACTATATTCAAATTTTATTAATTCTCAAATTCTGAAAATACAAATGATTATATACGAACTATTTATATAAAAACTAAAATTAAGTCTCAGTTTTAAGACTGACTGAATGAAAACTTTTACAAACATTTTATAAGGCTTGTTAGATGTCATAATTCTCTAATGTGTTTCTCTCCTAAACTACTAATAAAGACCATCGTGGAAAACGTCAGCCAACTTACTGTACAAAGCGGGCTAGGCCTGTACCCATTACACTAAGATACTGAACTTTGCAAAGACAGCAAGCAATCTTTTCTGATCTCCTTGCAAATTTTCTTTCTTTTTAGTCTTCTCTCCTTTTGCCGCTAAAAATGTAAACATTTCAGATCATTAAAGAAATAACTGATATTCCACTTAAATGATGGCACCTAATCCATGAAAGGAGGCCTTACATGAAAAGTTTAAACAACAAAAAAAAATTTACATAATTATCAGCCTTTACAGTAACTTGTGACTTTGCATTTATGTCTCTATTTGCTTTTAGTCTGTAACTCCCACTAGTTGTAAACCCATGTAGGCGGGGATCTTTTCTGCTTTTGCTCACGATTACATCTGGAACAACGGCACATCTGGAGCAAAGTGCTCAGTGCATTATTTCCCTATCATTTCTATTTACTTTGCATGATGAGATTTTTGCCTTTTCCAGAGATCCCTTATCTTTGAAAAATAAAATATTGCCAATTGTGTGAGTGTTCTATTGATGCTGTAAGAAATTACCACAAATTTGCTGGCTTAAAATAACACAAATTTATTATCTCAAAGTTGTTTAAGTCAGAATCTGGTGATCTCAGCTTGTTTCTCTGCCTGTGTCTCACAAGGCCAAAATGAAAGTGTCTGCAGGTCTTTGTTCCTTTTCTGGATTCTAGAAGAGAATGTGTTTGAAGTGACATTCAAATTTTTGCCAGGATTGAGTTCCATGAAGACATAGGAGCCCTAATTTTCCTGGTAGCTGTTGGCCAGCAGTCATTCTCAGCTTCTAGAGGCTGCCCTCATTGCTTTGATCTTGACTCCCCTCCTCCCTCCTCGAGGCCATCAAGGAAAGGTCAAGCTTCTCTCGTGTTTTCAATCTTTCCTCTACTTCCCTCTTCTGTTGCATCTCTCTCACTGCTCTTCTACCTTCCTCTTCTAATTTTCAGTGTCCATGTGATTAGATTGGGCCCACCTGAATAGTCCAGGTTAATCGCCCTATTTTAAGCACAGCTGGTGAGCAACTTTTTATTACATCTGTAAAACCCTTTGCCACATAACATTAATATATTTACAGGTTCCAGGGATATGAACATGGAGGTTGAGGGGGACCATTCTTTCTACAAAACCAAAAGCTTATAGCATTCAGTTTTTCAGCATTCCTAATATTCCATCAGTTACGCAAATTCTACCAAACTTTTGCATACTCTCTAAGTAATCCTGGGAGTTCAGTTTATGTCCCTACTCTGAAAAAGCAAAGCAGACTTCTGAAGGTGTGTTTTCATTATTTCTTACTGACATAGGTTCATTTGAATTTGTATTTAATAAAACCTTGTGGGTAAGGTATGAGAGCTTTTTGGAAAAGGTGCAATGAGATGGAAAACTGTCTTTTTGAACTTTTTCCCACACTAAAAAAAATATATTGTATAGTTCAAACATATAGGAATTGTTACAATCTCTGAAAGCATGTACCCTGCAATGAATTTAATTTAATTTCTACAAAACAACTTGACTGGAAAACACAGTTCAGGAGGCCATGCTGAACAATGAATTTCATTTATAGTGAAATAAAATTGCTACGAGTATGACTATAATCTGTACTTCATATATGACACTGATGTTACAATTTTTTGTAACATCATTTTTCTGCCTAGCACTAAATGAAATTTTAAAGTTGTCAAAGTCAGAAATACTTTAGAATACAAATAATCCCTGTGAAATATAGTTTATATATTAAAGTCACATTGAAGTCTCAAGCTGATAAGTTTTCCTTACAAATTTTTTACAAATATAGCAGTGTTATTTTTTTCTCATTGTATTCAATTTTGATTAACAAAGATTAGGCAAACTTCAATACCTCTACTATTATCAGGATTATTATTACATATATAGAACTGTTTTGAAGTTAATGACACAGTAATCATATAAAAACTATTTTATGATGATCTCAATATACAGGAGCCTATTTTTTCTGCAAATATACATATGATGCATCTAGAACCAAGCATAACAAATAAAAAAAAAAGTACGTTGATGAAACCACCATAGCTATTCAAGCTAATGAAAACTGAGGAGAAACAACATTTCCCAAATGATTATAGCAAAAGGAAAAAAAATTACATTGGTAGAAGAATGCTCAATACCAGCCTAAGCTGCAAGATGACAAATAAATAATATGAAAGACAAAGAGATCTTGAAAACAGGTAGAGAAAAGACAAATCACCTGTAAAGAGATGACAATTAAAGTGTAAAAATGGAAGTGATAATGGAAGTCTGAAATCAGTGGAATGACTCTTTAAAGTGCTAAGAAAACTTAAACATTAAATAGAGTGATAAAGCCAGCAAAACCATATTGCAAGTATAAGGATGAAATTAAGATTTTTTATGTTTAAAAAGCTATAGTATATACTATATAGTTCTAGCTATCTCAAATTTAAATTGTCCAAAAATAAGCTCCTGATAATCCCTCAAAAATCAGCACCTCTTAACGTTTTTCTCTATCTCAGATAATGGCAAATCTCCCCTGCTAGGGAGACACTAAAACTTTAATTAATCCTTGACTTCTCCCTTTTCTCAGTCTAATCAGAACCATTGGCATATACTCCGTGCTTTACCTTTCAAAAAATACTGACTGTAACACTTCTCACCACCCTCACTGCCAGCACTCTACTTGAAGCCACCATCATCTCTCACTGTTATGACAATAGCCTATATTAATTGCTTCTACTGTTGATCACCTCAGTCTATAATCTATAGTAACCAGAGTGACTTGGCCAAAACATAAATCAGATCTTATCAATGGTCTACTCAAAACCCTCTAAAAGCCTTCCATCCCACTGTGAAGCAAGGCCTACCAAGTCATACAATATCTAGATATACATTACATGTCTAGGCACATCTAATCTCCAAATCTCCTTTCTGTTGTAACTTTACTAGCTTCCTTGCTATATTATCTTGAACTTGCCAGACCTTCTTGCAATACCTGTTCTCTTTGCAGTGCTTTTTCATCATATACCTGCATATCCCCTCAATTCTTTTGGTCTTCATTCAAAAGTCACTTTCCTGGCTGGGCACAGTGGCTCACGTCTGTAATCGCAGCACTTTGGTAGGCCCAGGCTGGCAGATTGCATGAGGTCAGGAGTTCGAGACCAGCCTGGCCAACATGGTGAGACCCCCATCTCTACTAATAATACAAAAATTAGCCAGGCTTGGTGGGGAGTCACCTGTAATCCCAGCTGCTTGGGACGCTGAGGCAGGAGAATCACTGGAACCTGGGAGACAGAGGTTGCAGTAAGCCAAGATCATGCCACTGCACTCCAGCCTGGGCGACACCATCTCAAAAAAAAAGTCACTTTCGCAGTAAGACTTTCCTTGCCTACCTTACCTAAAATCGTCATTTAATCTGTTCCATTTTCACATTTTTCTGCTTTATTTTTTCTGCTAACAACTATGTAACATACTACATACTATGTATTTTATATTTTATTGTGTTTTTTGCCTATCTCTCAGAATTTTAGCACCATGAAAGCAGGGATTTATATATATAAAATTAGAGTTTTATATATACACACACACACACACACACACACACACACACAGAGAAATAGCATACATATAAATTATTAAAGTTACATATGCATATATCTATGTGTATATTTACATGCACTTACATACATATAAAACTTCATGCCCAGTACACAATATGTACAGCTTTGAATGAATGAGTGAATAAGAGTGCTTATTACTAAAATCTTTTACCAAAGGGGTTTCTAAAAGATATATTTCAAGAATGAAAATGACCCTAGAAAGGTCTGAATGCAAAAAGAAACAATAAATGAAGAAAATAATAAATATACATGAATCTAAACAGCAATATATTATATAAAATAATTTATAAGATCAAGTAAAAGTAAAGCTAAAGCACTGTTCAGTCAAAGAACATGGATATTGATGAAATACAAACTCTATTATGTGTGCATGTAGCAACACCAATAGTATTTACTAAAAAAGCAAAAGTAGAGTTTATATGTCCCAAATCAGTAAAGCAAACAGGTGAAATAGGGGTGGAGATGTAGAATTGTGGCTAAGACCTGAATCATTTCAATAAAAAGAAAGAGATATACACTAATAATTCATATACTTTTCCATATATATTTTAATGCAATAATTTTTTATTTTAAAAAATGCATGGCTTGGAGGTTGTTGATTGTAACTAATAGGTAAAGCCACAAAGCTTCATAGCAATATAAAATTTGAGCTCTTCTCTGTTATTGCTTTGTAATATATTTATCATTAAAAGTTACATATAAAATAACATTCCCCAAATGCTATACTTTAAGGGATGGCTATATTGAATCTAAGTTAGTATAATTTTTCTTTATGTGTAAAAAAGACTTTTAAAATATATTTTCAATATCTTTGCATTTCTTAGAATTTCACATTTTATTACATTTCCTCTAAATGCAAATCCCTCTCTTAGTGAAGAATAAACTACCCATATAATCTCAAGTTCAGACAATGAAAGCTTCTAACAAAACAGAATGATGTCTTAAGTTATAGAGAACTGTAATGTATTCAGGTAACCAATGCTGACTCTACAAAGTATGCTACTAAAATCAATTTTTATCACTTGAAATCTATTGCAATTAGAGTGCAATGCCAAGTCACTGACACACTAATGGGTTTTAAAATATTTCAAAAAGAATAAGAAAATTGCAAAGTGTTTTAATTGAAATGAAGCTCCAATAAGTATAACAAATTGGATAATATGAGCCTTCTCTAAAGCTACCATATGAAACTACCATACCATAGAGTGTTGAGTTTTAATAAATGTGCAGCATTGTCTAGCTGCACTTTATATAACAATTATCCTATATTTAACTATTTTAAAACCTTTATTATAGCTTCTACTATAAAAGAAGTTCTTTCTGTGTTCCAAGTGTTTGATTTTTAATTTCACTTTAGAACAATAGTGCAGTTTTTCCAAAGATTGGCTCTACAAAATTAGACGTGGCTTGCTTGAAAAGAATATTATATCTAACTGGAACATATTTTTGTTTAATTCAACTACAACAGTGCACTACATGGAAATGATTAAACTTAAATTAGAAACCAGGTTTTGTAATTCCTTGACTAAATTAATGGTTGCAAAAATGATAATTTCTGGCCACAAAGCTTGTAATAATACACAGAAAAAAAATACAGCCACTATAATAATGACAATCTTCAGTTTTTGTATCTCACCCTATTTCTTTAACCATGACTTTTTGTCATTTAGTTAATGACATTTCATTCCTTGATTCTCTGAATTTCTATGATTATATTTCCTAGGTTTGAAAAGGGCTCTTCCTTGCTCCAAAACACATGTGTTTCTACTTTTTTTATTAATTTTTCTTTCTTTCTTTATTATACTTTAAGTTCTATGGTACATGTGCACCACGTGCAGGTTTGTTACATATGTATACATGTGCCATGTTGGTGTGCTGCACCCAATAACTCGTCATTTACATTAGGTATATCTCCTAATGCTATGCCTCCCACCTCCCCTCATCCTACGACAGGCCCCAGTGTGTGATGTTACCCTTCTGGTGTCCAAGTGTTCTCATTGTTCAATTCCCACCTATAAGTGAGAACATGCAGTGTTTGGTTTTTTGTCCTTGTGATAGTTTGCTGAGAATGATGGTTTCCAGCTTCATCCATGTCCCTACAAAGGACATGAACTCATCTTTTTTATGGCAGCATAGTATTCCATGGTGTATCTGTGCCACATTTTCTTAATCCAGTCTATCATACATTGATGGACATTTGGATGGGTTCCAAGTCTTTGCTATTGTGAATAGTGCCACAATAAACATATGTGTGCATGTGTCTTTAAAGCAGCATGATTTATAATCCTTTGGGTATATACCCAGTAATGGGATGGCTGGGTCAAATGGTATTTCTAGTTCTAGATCCCTGAGGAATCGCCACACTGTCTTCCACAATGGGTGAACTAGTTTACAGTGCCACCAACAGTGTAAAAGTGTTCCTATTTCTCCACATCCTTTCCAGCACCTGTTGTTTCCTGACTTTTTAATGACCACCATTCTAACTGGTGTGAGATGATATCTCATTGTGGTTTTGATTTGCATTTCCCTGATGGCCAGTGATGATGAGCATTTTTTCATGTGTCTGTTGGCTGCATAAATGTCTTCCTTTGAGTAGTGTCTGCTCATATCCTTCGTCCACTTTTAGATGGGGTTGTTTGTTTTTTTCTTGTAAATTTGTTTGAGTTCTTTGTAGATTCTGGATATTAGCCCTTTGTCAGATGAATAGATTGCAAAAATTTTCTCCCATTCTGTAGGTTGCCTGTTCACTCTGATGGTAGTTTCTTTCACTGTGCAGAAGCTCTTTAGTTTAATTAGATCCCATTTGTCAATTTTGGCTTTTGTTGCCATTGCTTTTGATGTTTTAGACATGAAGTCCTTGCCCATGCCTACGATCTAAATGGTATTGCCTAGGTTTTCTTCTAGGGTTTTTATGGTTTTAGGTCTAACATTGAAGTCTTTAATCCATCTTGAATTAATTTTTTTATAAGGTGTAAGGAAGGGATCCAGTTTCAGCTTTCTACATATGGCTAGCCAGTTTTCCCAGCATCATTTATTAAATAGGGAATCCTTTCCCCATTTCTTGTTTGTGTCAGGTTTGTCAAAGATCAGATGGTAGTAGATGTGTGGTATTATTTCTGAGGGCTCTGTTCTGTTCCACTGGTCTAGCTCTCTGTTTTGGTACTAGTACCATGCTGTTTTGGTTACTGTAGCCTTGTAGTATAGTTTGAAGTCAGGTAGCATGATGCCTCCAGCTTTGTTCTTTTGGCTTAGGATTGTCTTGGCAATGCTGGCTTTTTCTTAGTTCCATATAAACTTTAAAGTAGTTTTTTCCAATTCTGTGAAGAAAGTCATTGGTAGCTTGATGGGGATGGCATTAAATCTGTAAATTACTTTGGGCAGTATGGTCATTTTCATGATTCTTCCTATCCATGAGCCTGGAATGTTCTTCCATTTGTTTATGTCCTCTTTTATTTCGTTGAGCACTGGTTTGTAGTTCTCCTTGAAGAGGTCCTTCACATCCCTTGTAAGTTGGATTCCTAGGTATTTTATTCTCTTGGAAGCAATTGTGAATGGGAGTTCACTCATGATTTGGCTCTCTGTTATTGGTGTATAAGAATGCTTGTGATTTTTGCACATTGATTTTGTATCCTGAGACTTTGCTGAAGTTGCTTATCAGCTTAAAGAGATTTTGAGCTGAGACAATGGGGTTTTCTACACATACAATCACGTCATCTGCAAACAGAGACAATTTGATTTCCTCTTTTCCTAATTGAATACCCTTTATTGATTTCTCCTGCCTGATTGCCCTGGCCAGAACTTCCAACACTATGTTGAATAGGAGTGGTGAGAGAGGGCATCCCTGTCTTGTGCCAGTTTTCAAAGGGAATGCTTCCAGTTTTTGCCCATTCAGTATGATATTGGCTGTGGGTTTGTCATAAATAGCTCTTATTATTTTGAGACATGCCCCATCAATACCTAATTTCTTGAGAGTTTTTAGCATGAAGGGCTGTTGAATTTTGTCAAAGGCCTTTTCTGCATCTATTGAGATAATCCTGTGGTTTTTGTCTTTGGTTCTGTTTATATGCTGGATTACGTTTATTGATTTGCCTATGTTGAACCAGACTTGCATCCCAGGGATGAAGCCCACTTGATCACAGTGGATAAACTTTTTGATGTGCTGCTGGATTTGGTTAGCCAGTGTATTATTCATGATTTTTGCATTGATGTTCATCAGGGATATTGGTCTAAAATTCTCTTTTTTTGTTGTGTCTTTTCCAGGCTTTGGTATCAGGATGTTGCTGGCCTCACAAATGAGTTAGGGAGGATTCCTTCTTTTTCTATTGACTGGAATAGTTTCAGAAGGAATGGTACCAGCTCCTCCTTGTACCTTTGGTAGAATTCGGCTGCGAATCCGTCTGGTCCTGGACTTTTTTTGGTTGGTAGGCTATTAATTATTGCCTCAATTTCAGAGCCTGTTATTGGTCTATTAAGGAATTCAACTTCTTCCTGGTTTAGTCTTGGGAGGGTGTATGTGTCCAGGAACTTATCCATTTCTTCTAGATTTTCTAGTTTATTTGCATAGAGGTGTTTATAGTATTCTCTGATGGTAGTTTGTATTTCTGTGGGATCAGTGGTGATATCCTCTTTATCGTTTTTTATTGCATCTATTTGATTCTTCTCTCTTCTTTATTACTCTTGCTAGTGGTCTATCAATTTTCTTGATCTTTTCAAAAAACTAGCTCCTGGATTCATCGATTTTTTGAAGGGATTTTTGTGTCTCTATCTCTTTCAGTTCTTCTCTGATCTTAGTTATTTCTTGCCTTCTGCTAGCTTTTGAATGTGTTTGCTCTTGCTTCTCTAGTTCTTTTAATTGTGATGTTAGGGTGTCAATTTTAGATCTTTCCTACTTTCTCATGTGGGCATATAGTGCTATAAATTTCCCTCTACCCACTGCCTTAAATGTGTCCCAGAGATTCTGGTATGTTGTGTCTTTGTTCTCGTTGGTTTCAAAGAACATCTTGATTTCTGACTTCATTTCGTTATGAACCCCATAGTCATTCAGGAGCAGGTTGTTCAGATTCTATGCAGTTGAGCGGTTTTCAGTGAGTTTCTTAATCCTGAGTTCTAGTTTGATTGCACTGTGGTCTGAGAGACAGTTTGTTATAATTTCTGTTCTTTTACATTTGCTGAGAAGTGCTTTACTTCCAACTCTGTGGTCAATTTTGGAATAAGTGTGATGTGGTGCTGAGAAGAATGTATATTCTGTTGATTTGGGGTGGAGCATTCTGCAGATGTCTATTAGGTCCACTTGTTGCAGAGCTGAGTTCAATTCCTGGATATCCTTGTTAACTTTCTGTCTCGTTGATCTGTCTAATGTTGACAGTGGGGTGTTAAAGTCTTCCATTATTATTGTGTGGGAGTCTAAGTCTCTTTGTAGGTCTCTAAGGACTTGCTTTATGAACCTGGGTGCTCCTGTATTGGGTGCATATATATTTAAGACAGTTAGCTCTTCTTGTTGAATTGATCCCTTTACCATTATGTAATGGCCTTCTTTGTGTCTTTTGATCTTTGTTGTTTTAAAGTCTGTTTTATCAGAAACTAGGATTGCAACCCCTGCCTTTTTTTGTTTTCCATTTTCTTCATAGATCTTCCTCCATCCCTTTATTTTGAGCCTCTGTGTGTCTCTGCATGTGAGATGGGTGTCCTGAATACAGCACACTGATGGGTCTTGACTCTTTATCCAGTTTGTCAGTCTGTGTCTTTTAATTGGAGCATTTAGCCCATTTACATTTAAGGTTAATATTGTTATGTGTGAATTTGATCCTGTCATTCTGATGTTAGCTGGTTATTTTGCTCGTTATTGATGCAGTTTCTTCCTAGCATCGATGGTCTTTACAGTTTGGCATGTTTTTGCAGTGGCTGGTACAAGTTGTTCCTTTCCATGTTTAGTGCTTCCTTCAGGAGCTCTTGTAGGACAGGCCTGGTGGTGACAAAATCTCTCAGCATTTGCTTGTCTGTAAAGGATTTTATTTCTCCTTCACTTATGAAACTTTGTTTGGCTGGATATGAAATTTTGGGTTGAAAATTCTTTTCTTAAAGGATGTTGAATATTGGCCCCCACTCTCTTCTGGCTTGTAGAGTTTCTGCCGAGAGATCCGCTGTTAGTCTGATGGGCTTCCCTTTGTGGGTAACCCGACCTTTCTCTCTGGCTGCCCTTAACATTTTTTCCTCCATTTCAACTTTGGTGAAACTGACAATTATGTGTCTTGGAGTTGCTCTTCTCAAGGAGTATCTTTGTGGCATTCTCTGTATTTCCTGAATTTGAATGTTGGCCTGCCTTGCTAGGTTGGCGAAGTTTTCCTGGATAATATTCTGCAGAGTGTTTTCCAGCTTGGTTCCATTCTCCCCGTCACTTTCAGGTACACCAGTCAGACATAGATTTGGTCTTTTCACATAGTCCCATATTTCTTGGAGGCTTTGTTCATTTCTTTTTACCCTTTTTTCTCTAAACTTCTCTTCTCGCTTCATTTCATTCATTTATCTTCCATCACTGATACCCTTCCTTCCAATTGATCAAATCGGCTGCTGAAGCTTGTGAATTTGTCACGTAGTTCTCGTGCCATGGTTTTCAGTTCCATCAGGTCATTTAAGGACTTCTCTACACTGATTATTCTAGTTAGCCATTCATCTAACCTTTTTTCAAGGTTTTTAGCTTCTTTGCGATGGATTTGAACTTCCTCCTTTAGCTCGGAGTACTTTGATCGTCTGAAGCCTTCTTCTCTCAACTCGTCAAAGTCATTCTCTGTCCAGCTTCGTTCCATTACTGGCAAGGAGCTGCGTTCCTTTGGAGGAGGAGAGGTGCTCTGATTTTTAGAATTTTCAGTTTCTCTGCTCTGTTTTTTTCCCCAGCTTTGTGGTTTTATCTACTTTGGTCTTTGATGATGGTGACGTACAAATGGGGTTTTGGTGTGGACATCCTTTCTGTTTGTTAGTTTTCCTTCTAACGGTCAGGGCCCTTGGCTGCAGGCCTGTTAGAGTTTGCTGGAGATCCACTCCAGACCCTTTTTATCTGGGTATCAGCAGTGGAGGCTGCAGAATAGCGAATATTGCTGAACAGCAAATGTTGCTGCCTGATCGTTCCTCTGGAAGCTTCGTCTCAGAGTGGTACCCGGCCGTGTGAGGTGTCAGTCTGCCCCTAATGGGGGGTGCCTCCCAGTTAGGCTACTCAGGGGTCAGGGACCCACTTGAGGAGGCAGTCTGTCCATTCTCCGATCTCAAACTCCATGCTGGGAGAACCACTACTCTCTTCAAAGCTGTCAGACAGGGACATTCAAGTCTGCAGTGGTTTCTGCCGCCTTTTGTTTGGCTATGCCCTACCCCCAGAGTTGGAGTCTACAGAGGCAGGCAGGCCTCCTTGAGCTGTGGTGGACTCCACCCAGTTTGAGCTTCCTGGCCACTTTGTTTACCTACTCAAGCCTCAGCAATGGCAGGCACCCCTCCCCCAGCCTCGCTGCCACCTTGCAGTTGGATCTCAGACTGCTGTGCTAGCAATGAGCAAGGCTCCGTGGGCATGGGACCCTCCTAGCCAGGTGCAGGAGAGAATCTCCTGGTGTGCCGTTTGCTAAGACCATTGTAAAATTGCAGTATTAGGGTCGGACTGACCCAATTTTCCAGGTGCCGTCTGTCACAGCTTCTCTTGGCTAGGAAAGGGAATTCTCTGACCCCTTGTGCTTCCCGGGTGAGGCAATGCCTCGCCCTGCCTCAGCTCATGCTCAGTGGGCTGCACCCACTGTCCTGCACCCACCGTCCAGCAAGCCCCAGTGAGATGAATCCAGTACCTCAGTTGGAAATGCAGTAATCACCCGTCTTCTGCGTTGCTCACGCTGGGAGCTGTAGACTGGAGCTGTTCCTATTCAGCCATCTTGGAACCTCCCCATTTCTACACTTTTTTATCATCCACCCAGCTTAAGAAAATCTATCTCCTTCCCTTCCTACTTCCCCTTTCATCCTTTCTACATCCCTTC
Source organism: Homo sapiens (assembly GCF_000001405.40). Lineage (NCBI taxonomy): Eukaryota > Metazoa > Chordata > Mammalia > Primates > Hominidae > Homo > Homo sapiens. Next base: position 97,801,419 of record NC_000004.12, read on the forward strand.
ATCAACCCTAATACTACTATCACATCATTCTCAAAAACAAAAACCTTTCTGTTTGAAGTGGTATTTGAAGAACTTGCACAACGATTTCTTTTGCCAGTAATATAGAAGCTATGGTGAGTATGCAAACCAGGCACAAATCTAGGGCAGTATTTTGGCCAATGACATGGCTGGGTGCTGTTCAGAAATAAAATTATAGCAGAAAGTAGCTCATATTAAAACCCTTTAAAAAATGTCTCTTTTTTTCTTTCTTCTTCCCCATAATATACACTGGGGAACACTGGGGAAGGCAGTATGGGGATTGTCTCACATTCCTTTTTTTTTACTTTCTTCACAGCATAGCAGGCCATGACCCATTCTCAGTTTTGCACTAGTCCCTTATTCACTTGCTTCACCTTTCCTATCCTATCCCTTTATTCTCTGCAATGCCATCAATTAGAACTGAACAGATGTTTCAAACTTTAATAAAGGATTGGCATAACAGGAATTACAATGTAACGTTAACTTTACATCAAATAAGACTAAGCTTTAGTTCAGTGTTTCTCAAACTAGCATGCATTAGAATCACCAGGAGGACTTGTTACAACAGAGGTTGGTTGGACTCCACCTCTAGAGTGTCTGAATCTTTAGGTCAGGTAAGCGTCTAAGAATTTGAATCTCTAATAAAGCTCCAGGTGATTTTGATGCTGTTACTCCAGGAACCACACTTTGAGAAACACTGTTTTAGTCTAATTTTGTGCCCTATCCTCAGGCCCACATCTCTCCATAAGAGCACATTCTTCTTCAAAACCACTATCCTTTAGGAGACATTTTGAATGATGTGGTTTCACCTCAGATTCATCTCTGCATATCTAAATTACTTTCAAAACATATTCTAGAGAACATTTGACAACTGTATATGGCATTCTCCCATGAGTCTCAAAGCACACACTAAGGATGTCAGAAGTACTCCATTCTGGTCTCCTTCAGTGTTTTCTCTACACTGACAAGGAGTTATAAACATTCCTCATTTTCCTTCTAGTTTTCTATCAAGTAAATATACATATATATATGAAGTTAAATATATATATTTTTGGCAGAGTTTCACTCTGGTTGCCTGGGTTGGAGTGCAATGGTGGGATCTGGGCTCACTCCAACCTCCATCTCCCAGGTTCAAGTGATTCTCCTGCCTAAGCCTCCCAAATAGCAGGGATTACTGGCACCCACCACCACACCCGGCTAGTTTTTGTATTTTTAGTAGAGATGGGGTTTCACCATGTTGGCCAGGCTGGTCTCAAACTCCTGACCTCAGTTTATCCACGCACCTCAGCCTCCCAAATTGCTGGGATTACAAGTGTGAGCCACCGCGCCCGGCCCTATCAAGTAAATATTAAACCACGTATACATATTGACACACACATGCACACGACCACATACACACTTTCATCACCAACATAAATTCTAGGTGACAGTAATATATTTGAAGTAAAAAAAGATCAACTCAAGTATTATGAACTTCCTTTATAATTTGCAAAGCCACCTCTATTACAATGAACTTAGTTATATATAACAGTGTCACTTCCTTTCAACTAACAATCTGACTCACCTGCCCTCACCACCCCATAAAATATAATGCTCTTGTTTTTGTTTTTGGATTGTGCCAGGAATAAGAAATAAGACTATTATTGGAAAATATACCTTCAGTTTGGCTTCCAGGCCTACTCAATACTAAGACCCAATATTTGAAATCCATTATTATTTAAAGCTCTATTAATGTAACCATGGCCACCATCCTCCAAAATATATATGGAGGGGGAAGAGGGGTTCTTTCAGTCACTTGATAAGAAGTTTGTTTCAAATTCTCTTTAAAATATGTTCACCAAAGATATTCCACTGATACAAGTTACTCCATGTATTTCAAAATGAGAAATAGATGTTAAATATTTTTAGAAACAATGTGATTGTATCTGTAAGGAAAAATACTAGGTTCTTGACCAAAAAATTTAAAAATCCCAATAAAACATTAACTTTTTACCACATGATTCAGGTCAGTGAGGGTGGAGGTGGAGGTGGGGGAGGATCTATTCCAAGCAGGTATTTAGGACCCAGGCTGTCAATGGCTTTGCCATCTTCTACAGGAGACTTCCCAAGTTCTCCTGGGGTGAGACAGAGTCTAACCCTGTCACCCAGGTTGAAGTGTTAATAGCGTAATCTCAGCTCACTGCAACATCTGCCTCTTGGGTTCAAGCGATTCTCCTGCCTCAGCCTCCCGAGTAGCTGGGACTACAAGTGCGTGCCACCATGCCTGGCTAATTTTTGTATTTTTAGTAGAGACAGGGTTTCACCATGTTGACCAGGCTGGTCTCGAACTCCTGACCTCAAATGATCTGCCCGCCTAGGCCTCCCAAAGTGCTGCAATTACAGGCGTGAGCCACCACGCCTGGCCAGAACACTGACTTCTTGGGAATACTGACTTCTTAATCAATTCATCTCCGATGTCACGTTATTTCAATTCTGTGGGCAAGAGCAAATCACAGTACCCCACCTAAACAAGACATTTAAAAAGGCAGTCACTGGTTGGGAGGCTGCTTTCCAGAGACAACTATGCGCCACAGAAGGAGAGGTTCCTATCTGTAGCAGTTATCTCTGACACAATAACAATACTGATGCTGCTAAACATGAAAATCCAAACGTTTTTATTTCTGCCTTTATTTTCCAGTCTTTGTCATATGCATAAAACATAGTTTCCAATTAATTCTCATCATAATATAATGTTATACCTTCTTTTAATCTAACGTAATCTACATGCTTTTAATAATTTTATTAAGTTAGGTGTTTCTGCTAGAGTAACATACACAATCGTGAGCTGCAAAACAATGTCTTGGTCAATGATGAACCACACATCCAACAGTGGCCCCATAAAATGATAATGGAGCTGAAAAATTCCTGTTGCCTAGTGACATACTGATTATCCTGACCCTGTGTAGGCCCTGGCTAACGTGTGTGTTTGTGTCTTAGTTTTTAACAACAACAACAACAAAAAGTTGAAACTTTTTTTTCTATTTTAAAGTTTAAAAATAGAAAAAAAGCTTACAGAATAAGGATATAAAGAAAATATTTTTGTACACAGTACAATGTGTTTGTGCTTTAAACTAAGCATTATTACAAAATAATCAAAAAAGTTTTTAAAAATTTGAAAATTTATGGAGTAGAAAAGTTAGAGTAGGCTAAGGTTAATTTATTATTGAAGAAAATAATTTTAATAAATATAGTGTAGCCTAAGGGTACAGCATTCACTCAACATGCACTCACTCACTCATCCAAAGCTACTTCCAGTCTCAAAAGCTCCATTCACAGTAAGTGCCCTATACAGGTGTACCATTTTTTCATCTTTTATACTGTATTTTTACAGTATCTTTTCTGTGTTTAGATACACTATGGGGGTAATACTTGCCATTGTGTCACAGTTGCCTATAGTATTCAGTGCAGTGATACGCTATGCAGGTTTGTAATGTAGGAGCTATAGGCTATACCATATGGCTTAGCTGTGTAGTAAGCTATATACCATCTAGGTTTGTGTAATTACGCTCTATGATGTTCATACAAGGACAATATTACCTAACAACATATTTCTCAGAGCATATTTCCATCACCAACCAACACATGACTATATGTGTTCCTGAAAATCTCTGTATTTTAAAAATTCTTCCAGTAAATATAACAGTGTTTGTGGGAAATATTGGGTTGAAACAGAACTCCTCAAAACCAAAAGAACTTCATAACCTGTACACTAACAAATACTCTTCTAATTTATTTATTTACCTTTTTTTGAGATGGAGTCTCACTATGTTGCTCAGGCTGGAGTGCAGTGGCGCGATCTCCCCTCACTGCAACCTCCCTGCCTTCCAGGTTGAAGCAATTCTCATGCCTCAGCCTCTGAGTAGCTGGGATTACAGGCGCGCACCACCACACCCTGCTAATTTTTCTATTTCTTTTAGTGGAGATGGGGTTTCACCATGTTGGCCAGGCTGGTCTCAAACTTCTGACTCCAAGTGATCTGCCCACCTCAGCCTCCTAAAGTGCTGGGATTACAGGCGTGAGCCACCGCACCCAGCCTGTTCTAATCTATTTAAAAGATGCCTCATATGTTTGTTGGCCAATTGTATGTCTTCTTTAGAGAAGTGTCTGTTCATGTCCTTTCCCCACTTAAGAATGGGGTTATTCCTTTCTTGCTGGTTGATTTGTTAAGTTCCTTATAGATTCTGGATATTAGGTCTTTGTTGAATGAATAGTTTGTGAAACTTTTCTCCCATTCTGTAGGCTGTTTACTCTGTTAATTTTTTTTTTCACTTTACAGCAGCTTACTAATCATCAGAGAAATGCAAATCAAAACCATAATGAGATACCATCACACACCAGTTAGAATTCCTATTATTAAAAAGTAAAAAAAAAAAAAAATAGATGCTGGCAAAGCTGCAGAGAAAAGGGAACACTCATACATTGTTAGTAGGAATGTAAATTGTTTCAGCCACTGTGGAAAGCAGTTTGGAGATTTCTCAAAGAACTAAAATTAGCACTACCGTTTGACACAGGAATACCATTACTGGGTATGTAACCAAAGGAAAATAAATTGTTCTACCGAAAAGATACATGCACTGGTATGTTCAACGCAGTGCTATTCACAATAACAAAAACATGAAATTAACCTAGATGCCCAACAGTGGATTAGATAAAACAGTGGATTAGATAAAGAAAATGTGGTACATAAACACAATGGAATACTATGCAGCCATAAAAAAGAATGAAACTGTGTCCTTGGTAGCAACTTGAATGCAGCTGGAGGCTGTTATCCAAAGTTAATTAATTCAGAAGCAGAAAACCAAATACCACATGTTCTTGCCTATAAATGGAAGCTAAACACTGGGTATACATGGACATCGAGATGGGAACAGTAGACACTGGGGACTAGAAGGAGGGAAGGAAAGGCACAAGGATTGAAAAACAATCGCTTGGGTACCATGCTCACTACCTGGGTGACAGGATCATTCATACCCCAAACCTCAGCATCACACAATATACCCATAAAACAAATCTACACATGTACCCCCTGAATCTAAAATGAAAGTTGAAAATAAATAATAAATAAAAAAGCTCTCTTAAAAAGTCAGTCTCCACAGACATCACAATCATGCCATCCTCTGCTGGGAAATTATGCCTCCTTTCACAGGAACTAGGTCGTGAGTGCATTCACCCCTAATATAAACTAGGTTCATCAATGATAAAAATATCATTTGAGGTAGATTTTATCAATCAATGGGTAGTTGTGGAGGAGAGGCATTGTTTTGCTTTGTTTTGTTTTGTTTAATACAAAAAGAAATATCTTTGCACTTCTTTATGCTCTTCTTAAGACCTTCATAAATTGCTAAGCCTTTATCTTTAATCATAAGAAACCTTGTTTATCACAAAGATTGCTGCCTCAAAACATAAGTGCATATGAACCAAGACAACTTCTGAGCCTTACTGACTTCTTTCTCCTTTTCTCAAATAACAGGTGAGCTAATTCACATTAAAGAAGCAAGCATGGCAGTAGAATAAACTGTTCAATTTTTATCATCAAATAATATTCCAGTTGCTTGATTTTCTGTGTTATGTTACATATTCCATTATTATTAGTTAATTTGTTTCCAATGTTTTTCTATAATATAAATGATATTGTACTTTATTTTCTTCCATTGATGTAATATTGGAATAATATTAAGTCAATATTAATTATATTATATTAATAATATAATTCAGATTTTCACCAATTTTGCTTTCATTCTCAAAATGCCTTAATTCCTTTAATATGTTTATTTACTCATTTAAAAAGTATATAAATTTGTTTATGCATTTTTAATCTTTCCTTCTGCCTATTTTCTGTTTTTGCCTTTAAGCTCCTGAAGAAGAAAGAATATGCTTATTTTACTTCCTTTACATACCACAACTCTATCTAAAAACAATCCTTAAATCCCTGTGGTTATACTAAGCATTATGAATAGACAACAGATTCCCAGTTGAACAGACTGCCCCAAAATGTTGATCATTTTGTGATATACTGCCTATCGTGGAAATAAAAATAAAATAATTAAAATGAAAAACTTAATGCATTATTCAAACAGCAGATTATACACAGAAGAGAGAATTGCTGAACTGGAAGAGTAGTTCAATAAAATACCAAAATGAAACATGGGGGAACAAAAGGATAGAAAATGAAAAAGTTGTAAGAGGAAAAAAAAGGAAGTATTTATTTGGAATTGAAAAGTGGGCAGGAGTATGAGGCAAAAGAAGAGATATACTGACTAAGAACTTTCTAAAACTGGAAAAATAAAGAATACATCAAGACACAGACTCAAGAAGCAGTATGTAAATCAAGCAGGATAAGGATACAAAAAACAAAAATAGCTAGGTACATCATAGTAAAATTTTCAAAAACCAAAGACAATGAGAAAATTTTGGAAGCATCATGAAAGCAAATATATACTATCATCAAACAAGCAATATTTAAATAGACAGTATTTAGATGTTTTTGAATTCTCCACAGAAACAATGGAAGCCAAATATAATTGAATATTTTAAAGTGCTGAATAATGGCTGCCAACATATAATTCTAAATCCAAAAATGCATTTTTAAATATTTTAGACACAATAAAAAGAAAAAGATAATTCTTCACCAGCAGAACCATACTAAAAGACTAAAGAGTATACCTCAGACAGAGGGTAAATGAACACAGGTAGTATCTTAGATGAAAAGAAAACAGAGCAATGAAATAACAAATGTATAAATGGGCAAATCTATATGACAATTGACTGCCTATACAAACCAATACTAATGTTCTTGGTTCTAAGGTATAAATAAATCAAAATATATGAAAATAATAGCAGAAATTGAGGAAAACGATAAACAAAATTAAAATGTTATAGTGTTCTGGCATTATTGAGGAATAAGATAAAAGTCATCAACTAATACCTGACTTTGATAAGTGAAAGAGGTAATCGCTAACTATCCACTACGATAAAAATAAAACAGTATAATTTCCAAGCTAATATAAAAATATTTTAAAATAATTTTTCAAAATCCTAAAAATACTCAAATCATAAAGGCAATAAAAACGCAGAAATAGAAGATAGGCAGGTGAGAGGAAATAGGAAACACTTCATCAGTGGAAGATTTAAACCCAACTATAACACTTAAATTATTAAATTTACTAAAAAGTTCTAATTAAAAGATAAAAATTTTTAAATTAGATATAAAAAGACAAAAACCAAAAAAAAAACCCACAGAAACAACAAAAGCACAAGGATACAGAAAGGTTGAAAGTAAAAGGAAGAAAAAAATGTCAAAAAAGACACTAAACCAAAGAAAGTTTATATAGCTTCATTGATACCAGAATACATATGTAAACACACATGCATACACAGACTCTCAAGCAAAAAAGCTAAAACTAAAAAGTGATACTTCAAACTTCCTTTGCCAGGAAGTTAAAATAATTAATAACAGTCTCAAAATATATAAAGAAAAATGGACTGAATTACTAGGAAATAGGCAAGTGGGCAAAAAAAGCAGTTTTCAAAATACTTCTCTCAGTAACAGAAAAGACAAGACAATGAATGTTTTTAAAATGCAGATTAGACAACATGATTGGAAAATAAGAAACATCTACAACTGATAATTTAAATTTAAAACTTGTTGAGTGACATATGGAAGAAGGAAATAAACACAAAAATTAAATAATGAAAATGCTCTAACTAGCACTAAGATAGAAATATCTCAAGTCCTATAAACACAGAAACTAGAAATTGAAAACACATTGTAAAAAGGAAGGACTATAGGAATGGATAATGGTGACAGAGAGAGCAGCACGTTTTAACTAAAACTGAGTAAACTAGTTGTGACAGGCAGAATTCTAAAGAAACCCCCCCAAGATTCCCATCACTGATTTTTTAAATCACCACTTATCTACCTACTACTTTGAAATGATTTTTGTAGACATAATTAAACTATCAGTCCATTTGACTTTAAAATATGTAGATCAGCTGAATGAGCTGGACCCAATTAGGTGAACCCTTTAAAAGCAGAGAATTTTCCTTTGACAAGGAAGTCAGAATTTGAAGCATGAGAACGATTTGATGTGCCTTGGCTAGCTTGAGGATGGAGGTAGCCATATCTCAAGGAATGTAAACAGCATTTATGAGCTCAGAGAGACCCACTGGCTGACAATCAGAAAGAAAACATGGACTTCTGTCCTAAAGAACTTAATTCGGCCAACAATCTAGTTGAACTTGGAAGCTGACTTTTCCCTAGAACCTACAGATAAGAACCCAGTTTGATCAACATCTTGATTTCAACATTTTGAGAGACAAAGAAGGGAACTTTAAAGAGCTGCCCAGACCTCTGATCTATAGAACTGTGAGCTGATAAACGGGTGTTGGTTTAAGCCACTGTATTTGTGGCAATTTGTTACACAGCAATAAAAAAAAATGCACTAGTATTTAAAAAAATAAAAAAACTAATACAATTGTAATGTATGATGCTATATTTTGACCCACAGATGTCATGAATAATAATATATCTTAAGATGACTATTTGTACATATAGCATAATTAAAGATCAAACAAAACTAATTTTCAAAACTCAAAAACAGAAATAACACATAAATTAAATATCATAGTTGGTGAATTAACAAAAAATGTTCTTTTTGCTGCCCATATTTACATATGGACTAAATCCTAATACCTAAAGAATGAAAGCAAGCCGGGCAGGGTGGCTCAGGCCTATAATCCCAACACTCTGGGAGGCCAAGGCAGGTGGATCACGAGGTCAAGAGATCGAGACCATCCTGGCCAACATGGTGAAACCCCGTCTCTACTAAAAATACAAAAATTATCTGAGAGTGGTGGTGTGTGCCTGTAGTCCCAGCTACTCAGGAGGCTGAGGCAGGAGAATCGCTTGAACCCGGGGGGCAGAGGTTGCAGTGAGCCGAGATTGCACCACTGCACTTCAGCCTGGCAACAGAGTGAGACTCTGTCTCAAAAAAAAAAAAAAAAGAAAGCAATGCTCACATTTTAAAAATTGGGAAAAAATTATCTGAATATGTACTTATCACTCCTCTAATATTTCCTAAAGCCTTCCCATGAGTCAGGCTCTGGGACACAAAGATGAACAGACATAGAGATCCTGCCTTCCAGGAACTCACAGTGCCTGGCACAGCACAGGTTACTCAATAAGCCTATGTTAAATTAATGAATTCTAAATAAAGTGTAATAGGAAAGCAAACATGCATCTCATAATGACAATATACTGGGATAAAGGCCATAATTTGAATATTATGCTATTTCCACATTTATATAAAATGTTACAGAAAGCTATTCTTTACAAAAATTATCACAGGATAAGCAAGCAATTTTATTGCTTTAAGAAACCAGGTACTTAAAACCATTATAAAGCATTACAAATCACCAACAAATTTTACAAACATTAGTAAATGGTGGCATAAAACACATTTTTCCTAAGAATTTTTCATCAGGAATTATGATGGTAAGGATCAGATTATATATTCTTTTGTTCACTTCTTAAAAGTACAGGCCTTTAGTTCCTTTTTTGTTTTGGTTCATCTGTTAAGCAGTGGGGGCCCAATCAGTGCTCCTTTGTAAAAAGACATTTTCCCAAAGAATACGAATTACTGTTCAAACAGGTTGTTGATGGGTAATAAGGGATGTTTTTGCTGCCCCAAAAAGGCTTAACAATTTAGGCGGTTAGTTTACTTAAAAAAAAAAAAATCCGTTGGAGACAAATACTGAAAATGCAAACTAGTTTCTAAATTATCAGTTCCCTACAAGAAAAAGCAGTCTGCCAGTGTTTAGTCTCAGAAAATGACTGGTTGGCTCTGTATCTATATCAGAACCCAATATCTACACATGTGTTGAATAAAGTAACAGCCTTTGATGAATTTCCTTCATAACATGGTTTTAGTGAAGCAAACATTTTTATTTTTTAAGGGCATTGTTCTTTCTAGTTCATTTCTTTTTATGAAATAAAATTATTTTATTTAAACATAGTTCCATTGTCATTTCTAAAAAATACAGTATTCTCATAAGTTGTAGCAGCAGTAAAAAAAAAAATGTTATATAAGTGGTTGGGGCAGATTTAACTGATTTTGTTAAACCAATTTGTAGGTTACTGCTTCTAATATTACACTTCTAAAAAGCTGAATTTATACTCATGTCCTAAAGGAGAATATGTGGTAATAAAGTATATCTGTTAAGTAACTAATTGAAATAGGCTTGGTTTTAAGAGTTCCAGTATATAATAGTCACAAATTGAAACCTAATTGACAGTATCTCTTGGAGTTCCAGTAAAGTCACAAATTAGTGAATAAGCATGCCAGTGTGCAAGGGTAATGGAAGGATTGTTAGCCTATCTAAATATTCAAAATTACTTTAAAACTTCAGTATGTTTTCTGATTTTTAAGAATTCAGAAGTGTTCTGTAATGGATTCAGATGTTTCATTTGTAGTATAATGAAATGTTTACAGAAAGATAACTTTTTCATTAATATATTTTTAGAAAAAAAGTACAGGCCTTTTTAGCGACTGACAAATATAAGTTAGTAAATTAGAAAATTTATCAAAGACTGAAGAAATACAATACCAACAAATGTCACAGTGCTAAATAGTTAAATGCAGTGTGAAAAGATAAAAATAAATACTAATTTATTTCTAACCATAACATAGTGATAATTAAGAATGCAGATTTGAATCAAATTATCTTTTCTGTACTTTTTTACTTTCTTACATATTACCAGATCTTACTTACAATGGCCTAAGATTCAAAAAATTACAGATGATCTGTTAGATTATGAGTCATAATTTTCAAGTCTTTTATCTCTACTTGAATATTTTATACTAGTGTTCAGACAGATTAGGACTATTCTCTAAGCATTTCCTTCAAACTCACAGAAATGTTTCTGAAAAGTAAGTCACATTTATAACCTGTTCCACATTTACTTCTAAAATTGGATATCATAAAGTAATTTTAATTCAGTATATCTAAGAGGCTTTTCATACTTATTTTGTATAATGAATTGAAATAATTTGAACATGTTGAGTTATATGTTTTCCAGATCACTAAAATGTTAATTGATTTGATTTTGAAAGTAAAAAAGAGTTTTAAAAGAAAAACTATAGAACAAAATATACGTCTAGTCTATATTAGTTCCTCCTCCCTATCTGAACATCTGAAAATTGTAATGCCCCAGTAGCTTAGTTCTAGGCCCCGTTTTCCTCCTAATCAATATTCTCCCCACAGAAGATCACCTACAATCTCATGGATAGAATGGCATCTGTATTTAATGATTCCCTACTTTTTATTTTCAGGCCAGACATTCTCCCTGAGCTTTGTATTTATATGTTCAAATAACTACTTACAATTCAAATAGAATTTCACATGTAACAGGTCCAAAACAGAATATCTTTCTCTTTTTACATCTCATCTTAAAACATCCTCCCCACCAGTTGTCGCTATCTTAAATGGCAATACCAGTTGCTGAAGTCAAAAATCTTGGAGTCATCTTTCCCTCATTTCCATACACATACAATCTGCTATCAAGTTCTGTTACCTCTACTTTCAAAAATATCCCAATCTTAACTCTTTCACCACTACTGCTTTTTTGCAAACTATCATCCTATCTTTTCTGCACTAGTCTCTCATCTGTCTCCCTGCTTCCACTTAAGCCTCCTATCTCTTATTATAAGAATCTTTCCTTGAATAACGCTAGGTATAACTGTGCAGGGTCAAAGTAAAAACAGTAAAAAAAATAAAATAAAATAAATGGAAGGCTACCTATCAGGTACTATGCTCACTACCTTAGTGATAGGATCATTCGTGCAACAAGCTTCAACAATATGCAATTAACCTGTGTAACAAAGCTGCACATGTACTCCCAAATCTGATACTTTTTTAAAAAAAGAAAGTAACATTTATTGAGCACTTACTATGCTATGGGTACTATGCTAGGAGATTTAAATCCATTTTTATTGTTACCATAAAAAATAAGTATGTGAGGTCATATAGATGTTAATTAGCTTGACTCAACTATTCCATGAAGTATACAGATTTCAAATTTGTTTAGGTCAGATGCAGTGGTGCATGCCTATATTCCCAGCTACTCAGGAGTCTGAAACAGGAGAATTGCTTGAGCCCAGGAGTTCAAGTCCAGCTTGGGCAGCATAGCAAGACCCTGTCTCTTAAAAAAAAAAAAAAAAAAAAAAAAAAAAAAAAAAGCATGTTTTATAAATAAAAAATGTACACAATTTTATTTCATTTAAATTTTTAAAATATATTTAATATATTTTTAACTTAAGCATTACAACAACTTTATGAAAAAATACTAATGATTTCCTTTTATGGGTTGAGAAACTACAGCTCTGAAAATTGAGAATCCTGCTAATAAGCAAAATTCAGCTAAGGTTAGGTCATTCAAGTAATCAGAAAGTCACAATTAGAATGCATTCTGTTAGAATCCAGAGTCCATCTTTATTCCAGCATATCAAGTTGCTTTCAGTAGAATGTACTCTAAAAAGAATTGCATATACTCACACCATTAAATTATTACAATGATAATACACCTAATGAGATCATGAAAAATCAAAAACAGTAATGGGATCTGATAGTTCCTCCAAACAGACATAACATTATTGATATATTTATAACAAATGTATTTTGTTTGTATTGTTGAGATATATTTTATTAATTTCACTTTAGTGACTTACATTATTATGAAAGATGAAATGACCAAAACAATACCTTCCTTAAATGTCAAAATGTCAAATAACTGGTTATTCTGGTAGCCATTATGCTTAGGCTATTAATTTAGGACTTTCTAAGATACATTTTGTTTTGTTTTGTTTTTTGTTTTGAGACAGAGTCTCACTCTGTCACCCAGGCTGGAGTGCAGTGGTGCAATCTCGGCTCACTACAACCTCTGCTTCCCAGGTTCAAGTGATTCTCCTGCCTCAGCCATCCAAGTAGCTGAGATTAAAGGTACATGCCACCACACCTGGGTAATTTTTTTATTTTTATTATGGGCTGTGGACAATAGTTGGCTAAATGGTCAGTGTGATGGTTAATACTGAGTGTCAACTTGATTGGATTGAAGGATGCAAAGTATTGATCCTGGGTGTGTCTGTGAGGGTGTTGCCAAAGGAGATTAACATTTGAGTCAGTGGGCTGGGAAAGGCAGACCCAGCCTTAATCTGGGTGGGCAGTACCTAATCAGCTGCCAGCATGGACAGGATATAAAACAGGCAGAAAAACGTGAAAAGACTACACTGGCTTAGCCTCCCAGCCTACATCTTTCTCCTGTGCTGGATGCCTCCTGCCCTTGAACATTGGAGTCCAAGTTCTTCAGCTTTGGGATTCGGACTGACTTCCGTGCTCTTCAGCTTGCAGAGAGCCTATTGTGGGACCCTGTGATCGTGTGAGTTAATACTACTTAATAAACCCACCCCATTAGTTCTGTCCCTCTAGAGAACCCTGACTAATACAGTATTTCTTAGTATTACTGTGCCTTGTTATTAAGGTCAATGCAAAAGCACAACCACCCAATTCAAGCAGGACTACCAACGTCCTGCACTTTTCAGAAACGAAGGTATGGGTCATATCACCAGGTAAAGAACCATGACTAGCTGAAGTCAGCTTTGCTAAAGGCAAAGAGAAAACATAATGGTAGCGAAAGAAAGTAATTACAAATACCAGCTTTGACTATGTGACCAGTTACAGAAACATTTACCGGTGTGTGTGTGTATGTGTGTGCATGCGTGTGCACACGTTTGTATATACAGCTTGACTATCCCTTATCCAAAAGGCTTGGGACTGAAAATGTTTTGGATTTCAGAATTTTTCAGATTTGGGAATATTTGCATTATTATACTTAGTGGTTTAGCATCCCTAATTAGAAAATTCAAAATCTGAAATTCTCTAATGAGCATTTCCTTTGAGCGTCATTCAGTGCTCAAAAAGTTTCAGCTTTCCGAATATTTTTCATTTTGGATTTTGGATTTTTAGATTAAGGATACTCAACCTGTATATATAAAATCTTTTGTTTTCTTTCCTCACTCTCTTGTCATGTAACATAAGATGTAATGACTTTATATTATGGTATTTAAGTATTGTTAATTTTACATAATACCATTTAAGTAACAAGATGTTGGGAAGAAGGGTAAATATCACTCAGGGACTTTACCTTCTCTTCTGGGAAAAGGTTAGTGCATTTTTGGTTGTACACAGGATAGCTGCACTATGTTAGGCAGAAGTATGATCTTGTTATCTTTATTTGGAGATTAAGTATGGTTTAAGTAGATTCATATGAATGCCAAGCTGACAAGAGGTAGACTTGTGATAGCTAATTTCATGTGTCAACTTGACTGGTTCACAGGATTCCCAAATACCTGTTTTTTTATTATTATTCTACTTTAAGTTCTGGGATACATGTGCAGAATGTGCAGGTTTGTTACATAAGTATACATGTGCCATGGTGGTTTGTTGCACCCATCAACCCATCAACTACATTAGGTATTTCTCCTAATGCTATCCCTCCCCTAGCCTCCCATCCCCCAACAGGCCTCAGTGTGTGGTGCTCCCCTCCCTGTGTCCATGTGTTCTCATTGTTCAACTCCCAATTATGAGTGACAACATGCAGTGTTTGGTTTTCAGTTCATGTGTTAGTTTGCTGAGAATGATGGCTTCCAGCTTCATCCATGTCCCTGCAAAGGACATGAACTTATCCTTTTTTATGGCTGCATAGTACTCCATGGTATATATGTGCCACATTTTCTTTATCCAATCTATCATTGATAGTCATTTGCGTTGGTTCCAAGTCTTTGCTATTGTGAACAGTGCTGCAATAAACATACATGTGCATGTGTCTTTATAGTAGAATGATTTATAATCCTTTGGGTATATACCCAATAATGGGATTGCTGGGTCAAATGGTATTTCTGGATCTATATCCTTAAGGAATCACCACACTGTCTTCCACAATGGTTGAGCAAATTTACACTCCCACCAACAGTGTAAAAGCATTCCTATTTCAGAGACCTGTTTAAAGATCATTTCTGGATATGTCTGTGAGAGTGTTTCTGAAGAGATTAGTATTTGAATTGGTAGACTGAGTAAAGCAGATTGCCCTCCTCACCACGGATGAGCATCATGCATCCTTTCAGGGCCTAAATAGAACAAAAAGGCAGAGAAAGGGAGAATCAATCTATCTTCCTTTCCTTCCTTCCTTCCTTCCTCCCTCCCTCTCTTTCTCTACCTTTCTTTCTTTCTTTTTCTTTTCTTTTCTTTTTCTTTCACTCTCTTTCTGTCTCTCTCTCTTTCTGACCCTCTTCCTTCCTTCCTTCCCTTCCTGCCTTCCTCCTTCCTTTCTTTCTCTTTCTCTTTCACTCTTTCTTTTTCTTTTTTATTTCTCTCATATATGCACATACATAAATATAAATATACATTTATACACATGTGTGTAGAAAATATATATTATATATTTTATATATTATATATTATTTTATATATACATATATTTCCTATTGGTTCTGTTTTTCTGGAGAATTCTGACAAATACAGGGTGTACTTAACAAAGAATAGAAGTTAAAAGAACAGGCCCACATGCCAAACTGCCTATATTTGAATCCCAGCTACATTCCACCTTGGAAATGTGTGACTTTAGCAAGTTATGTAACTTCCCTATGATTCAGTTATCTTTTCTGTAAAGCATGGTGATTATACAGTTGTTATGAAGATTCAATTAGTGTGTATATATATGATATATACATATAATAAATATAAATTTATTTTAAAGATCCTACTGGCACTATGAACTATCTGATAAATTATTGTTTTTACTAATAATGATTACTCTTCACAATCTATTACTATAAACTACATTAGTAATAAAAATGGTATTGAATTATTTTAAATGTCACGATAAAATTGTAAGAATTAGCAAAAACATTTCTTAACTTTAGAATACTTGCTTAGACATGGTGCCATTTCCCCTTGAACTGTTCTCTATAAATCCAAATTTTCCTTATAAATAGAATAAATTATTTCATTATAGTCTATCACAGTTTTTACTGTTGCATTTTACACTGGCTGCTTCCCCATTATCTAGAGGATTATTAGACTTTAGACATCGTGAAATGTGCTTAAAGTTTCTGAAGTTCAGCTTCTCACTCTCTGCAGAAAATCTATCCCAGAGCATTCCTGAAAATTAAATTAGATAGCTTATACTTGGATAATTTTAGTGATAAGAAGCCTTTTAACTCTAGAGGCAACTCTTCCATTAAAAGGCAAGCCTATTTAAAATTTTCTATATTTTCTTAAAATTTTCTTTTCCTAATTTCCCCACATTTTTCTTAGGACTTAACTTGACTAGCTTCATTCAGATTTGAAGGTCAGTAGAAGAGCTGTCTTTTATATGCATCAGATCTACTCAGAATTATATATATATATATACTCTGTCCTCAGAGTCATCCTTCCTTTTCCGTAAAAAGTAGCCCATGTTTACAGCTAAAGAGTTTTTTTGGCCATTTCCTTCCTGTAGAAATCTGAGAGTCCAAAGGCCTCTTTTCATTTTATATACTGTTTGTACCTCTTAGGCCAAGCTGACCCTATTATTTTTAAAACTATGTGAGCTTTTATTGATTTATAAATCACTCCATTATGCAAAGCCACACCACAAGATGTTTGAGAAAAGCTCTCTTCTATATATTATCTATATAGAGAGATATAAAACCTATTTATAGTAGTCTGTTCTTATCCACGGGGACACGTTCCAAGAACTCCAGTGTATGCCTGAAATCAAGGATAGTATCGAACCCTATAAATACTATGTTTTTTCCTATATATACATATCCATAATAAAGTTTAATTTCTAAATTAGGCATAGTAAGAATGACAATAGTAACTAATCATAAAGTAGAACAATTACAACAACATATTGTTATAAAAGTTGTGTGAATATGGTCTCTCTCTCTCTCTCAAAATATTTTATTTTACTGTACTCGCCTATTTTCAGACTGCACTTGATTCAGGTAACTGAGGCCATAGAAAGTGAAACCATTAAAAAAAAGAAGACTGCTGTATTTTCAATTTTTCTTGGCACTTAACTTCCCATCTCAATAAATAAACCAAGTCCACTTTCTGCTTTGAGGCTTACCACTCTATTTTAGACTTTAATTCTATTATCCTAATTTA
This sequence comes from Homo sapiens, assembly GCF_000001405.40. Taxonomy (NCBI): domain Eukaryota; kingdom Metazoa; phylum Chordata; class Mammalia; order Primates; family Hominidae; genus Homo; species Homo sapiens. The sequence continues at coordinate 97,818,681 of NC_000004.12, forward strand.
TGTTCTAAAATACCACTTCATCAGTTTTCTCCTCCCCACTCCACCCTGCATATTCAATCTCTCCTCAAATGAAGCTTTTCCCAGTCTTCAGTTCTTTAGAAGTACTCAAAAAGTGAATTACTTTATTCTAAATCAGAAAACTAATAATCTGTGTACTATACATGGAATAATTTTATCTATAATATATGCTTCTTACCAAATATAATCATTCTCAAATTATGTGTAGAGAATTTACTCTCTCTGTATATATATTTATGTATCTCTTATATAAATATACATATTTATATATAATATAAATAAATATATATTATATATAAAAAGTGTCCAAAGAAACAAAAATAATTTGAGGTTGAAAATTAATAAAGTTAGTTCATGTTTAATAATAAAATTTCTATCATTTCGAATAAAGATATAGAATCCACAAATCCCCAAAACTGATCTGACCAGCTTTTGCCCACACTCAGAATTATCCTGCATTTTATCACCTCAGAAGCATTTCTGGCAGCTATAGAAAAATGACCAAAAAAGTTATACATTTTTGCAGTAGGTTAACAGCACTCAGCAAGAGTGATGAACTGCATTTTGAAACACTTTCTAGTACTTCTGAAGCTAGAATATTATAAGTCACTGAGAAAACAGAATAAATAATTAATTTTTACACAACAGTGATTTTTACATCAAAGGTATTATTTATGTTTATTGAAAAAGTGAGCAAAACTACCTTCATGAGATATGTTCAATTAACTTCTAAGATAAATTATACCTGTTTCCTAAAATAATTTCCTGTGGGAATGTGATACGGAAATCACAATGTTATTTTCATGAGTAATGATCTACTCATTACTGAGTAAAGTAAGTCTCAGTACCTGATAGGTTAAGCCTACAAATGTTGTCTTATATGCTATGCATTGCTGAGTCTATCATTCATTTAAATATTTGGTTTCTAATAAAAATTATGCTGTCAACATCAACTGTTTTTCTTCATTTATTTAAAATCTAAAAATAATTTAATATTTTAACATTTAAATATTTTGCTGTAAAATTTAAACCATTTAAACTATTTAAATTAAATTATTTAATTTTATTGTTAAAACATTTAAATTTTTAATATATTTTTGACTTACTATAAAGCAGTATTTGTTCACATAGAGAACACAATGAAAAAATTGAAAAACCAAAACATAACTTTTTAGTAAGCCTAAGGCTGTTACTCAAATACAGGCATACCTCATTTTATTGTGTCTTGCTTTATTGTGCTTTACAGATACTGTTGGGATTGGTTTTTTGTTTTTTGTTTTTTTTTAAATTGAAGGTTTGTGGCAACCCTGCATTAGCAAGTCTATCAGCTCTCAGTGCCATTTTTCTAACAGTATGTGCTCCCTTCATGTCTCAACGTCACATTTTGGTAATTTTCTCAATATTTCAGACTTTTCCATTATTATTATTATATCTGTTATGATGAACTGTGATCAGCAATCTTTGATGTTACTATTGTAATTCTTTGAGGGCAACACAAACCATGCACATATAAAATGGCAAACTTAATCTATAAATGTGGTGTGTGTTCCTATGGCTCCACTGACCAGACACTCTCCCATCTCTCTCCCTCCCCTCCAGCCTCTCTATTCCATAAGACATAACAGTGCTGAAATTAGTCTAATTAATAACCCAACAATGACCTGTAAGTGTTCAAGTGAAAGGAAGAGTCAGGGGTCTCTCACTTTAAATTAAAAGCTATAAGTGATTAAGTTCAGTGAGGAAAGCATGTTGAAAGCAAAAACGACAGTAGCTAGACCTCTTGCACCAAACAGTTACCCAAGTGTAAATGCAATAGAAAAGTTCTTGAAGAAAATTAAAAATGCTACCACAGTAAATACACAAATCAAAAGAAAGTTGTTAAGCCATTCTTCCATTGCTATAAAAATATACCTGAGACTGTGTAATTTATAAAGAAAAGAAGCTTAATTGCTTAACAGTTCTGCAAGCTGCAGAAGCATGGCACTGACATCTGCTTCAATGTGGGGAGGTCTCAGGTAGTTTTACTCATGGCAGAAGGTAAGCAAGAGCAGGCATATCACATGGTGGGAGCAGCACAAGGTGGCACAGAGAGGTTACCACACACTTTAAAAAACCAGATCTCATGAGAACTCATTCTCTATTGTAAGGAAAGCCCCAAGCCAGAATGGATCCTCCTTCATGACTCAAACACTTCCCACCAGGCCCCACCTCCAAAATAAGATTTGGAGGGTACATCCAAACTATGGCATTTCGCCCTCTGCCCCCCAAATCTCATGTTCTTCTCACATTGCAAATTACAATCATGCTTTCCAATAGGTTCCCAAACTCTTAACTCATTTTAGCATCACTCAAAAGTCCCAAGCCCCAAGTCCAAAGTCTCATCTGGAGATGCATTCCTTCCACCTATGGGCCTATAAAATCAAAAACAGGTAGTTACTTTAAAGGTACAATGGAGGTTCAGGAATTGAGAAAACATGCCTGTTCCAAAAGAGAGAAACTGGCCAGAAGAAAAGGGCTCCAGCCTCTACACAAGTCTGAAGCCCAGCAGGACAGTCATAAAATCTTAAGGCTCCAAAATAATCCCTTATTACCCCATATCCTAAATCCAGGGCAAACTGCAGTAAGGAGTGGGCTTTCTAGACCTTGGGCAACTCTGCCCCTGTGTCTCTGCAGGATACAGCCCCTGCAACTACTCTCACAGGTTGGAGTTCAGTGCCTGCAGCTTTTCCAGGTGCAGGGTACAAGCTGCAAGTGGATCTATCATTCTGGCATCTGGAGGACAATGGCCCCCTTCCCACATTTCCAGTAGGCAGTGCCCCAGCGGGGAATCTGTGTGGGGCCTCCAACCCCACATTTCCCCTCCACATTGCACTAGTAGAGTTTCTCTGTGAGGGCTCCACCCTTATAGCAGGCTTCTGCCTGGGCACCCAGGTTTTCTCATATATCCTCTGAAATCTAAGCACAGGCCGCCAAGCCTCCCTCACTCTTGCACTCTGTGTGCCTACAGACTTAACATCACGTGGAAGCTTCCAGACTTAACAGCTTGAACCATCTGGAACTACAGCCTGAGCTATACCTGAGGCCCTATGAGCTGAGGCTTGGTCTGAGTGGCCTGAATGCCAGAGTAGTGTCCCAAGGCTGCACAAGGCAGCCAAGCCCCAGGCCTGGTCCCCCAAGTCATTCTAAGAAGAGCTGCCAAAAAGATCTCTGAAATGCCTTGGAGGCCTTTTTCCCATGTCTTGGCTATTAGCACTTGACTCTTTTTAGCCATGCTAATATCTCCAGCAAGTGGTTGCTCCATAGCCCCTCTGAATTCATCTCCTAATAATGCTTTTTCTTTCTCTGCTACATGGCCAGGCTGCAAATTTTCCAAACTTTTATGCTCAGCTTCCCCTTTAAATGTAAATTCAAATTAATTTTTAGTTACTTTTTTGCTCCTGCATCTGAGCATAGGCTGTTAGAAGCAAACAGGCCATTTCTTAAATGCTTTGCTGCTTAGAAATTTTTTCTGCTAGATACCCTAAAATACAGACAAGTTATTTGCTAAGGCATAACATGAGTTACATTTGCTCCAGTTCTTAATAAGTTTCTCATTTTCATCTGAGACCTTGTCAGCCCAGAATTCACTGTCCATATCACTATCAGAATTTGGTTACAACCATTTAAGCAGTCTCTAAGAAGTTCCAAACTTTTCCTCATCTTTCTGTCTTCTTCTAAGCCCTCCAAACTCTCCCAGCATCTGTCTGTTACTCAGTTCCAAAGTTCCTTCCTCATTTAAAGGTTATCTTTATAGCAATGCCCAACTTCTTAGTATCAGTTTTCTGTGTTAGGCTATTCTTGCTATAAAGAAATACTTAAGACTGGGTAATACATAAAAAGGCTTAATTGGTTCAGTGTTCTGAAGGCTGTACAAGCATAGTGCTGATACTTGCTTGGCTTCTGGGGAGGTCTCAAGGAGCTTTTACTTATGGCAGAAGACAAAGCAGGAGCAAGCACATTATGTGGCAAATACAGGAGCAAGTAGGGGGTAAGGGTGCCACACACTTTTAAATGACCAGATCTCATAAATCACTCACTATCACAAGGATGGCACCAAGCCATGACGGCTCTACCCCCATGACCCAAACTCTTCCCACCAGGCACCATCTCCAAAACTGGGTATTACATCTCTGGAGAAAGTTTGAGTGGTCTAAATTAAATAACAAACCAGCCACAACATTTCCTTAAACCAAAGCATAACCCAGAGAAAGACCCTAATTATCTTTGATTCTTTGAAGGCCAAGAGAGGTGGGGAAGCTGTAGAAGAAAAGCTGAATGCTAGCAGAGGATGATTCACAAAGATTAAGGAAAGAAGCTGTCTTCATAACATAAAATACAAGGTGAAGCAAGTGCTGATGCAGAAACTGCAACAAGTTATTCAGAAGATCAAGCTAACATCATTTATGAAAGTGGCTACACTATGCAAAAGATTTTCAATGTAGACAAAACAGTCTTATAATAGAAAAAGATGCTATCTAGGACATTCAGAGCTAGAAAGAAGTCAACGCCTGGCTTCAAAGCTTCAAAGGATAGGCTGACTCTGGAGCTCATGCAGCAGCTGGTGACTTTAGGTTGAAGTCAATGCTCATTTACCATTCTGAAAATCCTAGGATCCTTAAAAATTATGCTAAATATATTGTGCTTGTGCTGTAGATATAGAAAAGCAAACCCTGGGTGAATGCACATCTGATTACAGCATGGTTTACTAAATATTTTAAGCCTGCTGTTGAGACCTAGTACTTAGAAAAAGATTCCTTTTCAAAGTATTACTACTCATTGACAGCTGTTCTGCCTATGGAGTAGCCATTCTTTATTCCTTTAGTTTCTTAATAAACTTGCTTTCATTTTACTCTGTGGATTCACCTTGAATTCTTTTTTGTGTGAGATCCAAGAACCATCTCTTGGGGTCTGGATTTGGACCCCTTTCTGGTAATATCTTTCTGGCGAACCACAGAAGGGATGATACTGAAGAGACACCCGACCCAAAGGAAAATCATCTGTGTGAAACACCAATTGGCTAACTCCGGGTAAGTGGGATGAATTTACCCAGGTAAAAGATGGGACTGGATCCGAGGCCCAACCTAGGAAATTTAGAGTCTCTCCTAAGACAGAGAGAGTTAAAGGCCCCTCTTACTAAAAGCAAGGACACTTGACTGAACCTGGGTTTGAGACCCAACTTAGGGAGGTGAGAGTCCTTCCTAAGATTTAGGGGATGAGAGGCCCCATTCAGTAAAGTCCCTCTTGGCTAACAACAGGTTTGGCACTATGGGATATTAATTGCTATTCTCTTTGGATTAATCTGTCTTTCACTCTTTGCTGACGGCTATGGGTGGCAGAATTAGGCATGTACAGGATCATGGGACATGGGGAGTTTTTCTCCCTAAAAGGGGAAATTTGAGAGTTGACGGGGCTGCTGGGAAAAATCCCTGTGTGACTGACAAGCAGCTGCCTAAACTTTTCAGTGTGGCTGCAGTGAATGGGTCTTTCTCTGGCCTCCCTGAGCTCCTAGACTTCCCCATCCCATTGCAGGCAATGCTTTTCTCCCTTTCCCTTCCTTTCTCTCTCTCTCATAAACAGTTATTTTTACCATTCATTCAAAGTTGAATGAATGAACTTTGAAAATCATTCAAAATTGAATGAATGGTAAAAATCATGGTTTATCTCCTCTGTAAAGTTCTGATTAATTGGAAAAAGGATTTGTGAGGCTAGCCTTAAACTGTAGCAAATCTGTTGTATTTTGTGCTATGAATTTGTCTTTCTGTATCTTTCTGTCAGAAAGAGGGGTACCTTAGGATAGAACAGGGGCTTAGGGCCCCATAAGCCCTCTGTTCAAGACAGCACAGCAAACTGGTCAGTTATGTCCTTGGGAGCTTGACCTTGTAACCACGTGGCACTACTTTCTCTTGGTCTCTGCCATCTGGAGGACAGAAATTTGGGGGTTCATGAAATAGTCAGCCCTAAAAATTATCTTGCTAAAAGACTTCACAAGCTCAAAATTGGCTGCTCTAGACTCCTTCTGGGAAGAGCATTGGAAACTGCCCAATGCTGTAGCTCAGCAGCTAAAGTTTTGCCATTTTACGGGGGCAGCCTAGGTTCAATTTCTGGCTTAGGGAATGAGTCCTTTCTGGGTTGATACCTGCATGACATTTACCATTTGTTAATTTTCTTCCCCTCCAAAAACCATGTTGAATTGTCCTTTCTCTGAGCATATCGGAGGTTACCTTTAGTAAGGTTCAAACGCCAGAAATATTGGCTGTTTGGCCTGGCTAAAATCAGGTAATAAGAAATTTAAAAGTTTTTTTTTTAAGAGTGCTATGTTTAAAAGTCAGCTTAATTGAAAGTGGATATTCAAGCTCTAACAGCCTGAGGCTCCTTGGTAAAAAAAACTGAAGAGGCACCACAGACCCCATTTTAGGAAAAACTTCTCTTTTCCTCATGAAATCCAAGAAATTAGAAGTGGATAAGAGCCCACTCAAAATCTAAGGCTCTGTTCTGATTTGCATTGCATTATCTGACAACTTTAACTTTTGGGGGTGTCAGAAATTAGTTCACAAATTACTTCACATTATGAGAGAGCTTTGGTGTGTAATAACTAGGTAGGAAATTTACTTTTGGGGATAGCTAATGGCAGTTATGGGGAAATACTAAGCTCTGCACATTTGATCAGAGAAGCATGCTCTTCGACACCTAGAAGTTATGGAAATGTCCCCACCCGACCCCTACTGAGAGATAAGACTCCTGTGGGAGATGCATTGATTCCCTGTTTTAGGAGATCCAAGATCTGGTATAAAAATGGGACCCTTAAATTCTAGAAATCTGTTTTACCTCCCAACTGTGCCTGCTTATTAGGCCCTAGAAACTGTATGCTCTCCTGGCCCTGTTCCTCCAAGGGCTCCACTCTAAAGCCAGTAATCCAATTAAGAAACTGGTAAATGAAAAATCTTACAACTACTGAATCTTTTGTCTGTCTGGGTATTTATATATATTGTGTATGTGAAATATAAAAGAGCTTTGATTCATTGGTTTAAAATTAATAAGAGCTTAAATCAAGTATGTTATCAGAAAAATAAAAAGTGTAATGCCTTTTACTTCATGTAACATATCTTTGGTAAATAAATAAAGTTTTAAAGATTATTGGTAAAATAAAAGTCTTCAAAATTTAGACATTTGGTCTAAATTAGGCAGGTGATGTATTAGTTTGCTAAATGCTTTAGGGTCATAAACTGATTCTTTGACTTTTCTCAATTATTCAGTTTACTTAGTTTGGAGCATCAGATTCTATAATAGATAAGGCCTGGGGTCATGTGGAGAGCCTTGCCCTCTAGCTATGCGGGGAAGAGTCAGCTTTTATCTACACTTCTGTCTGATGTCATAGGCTCCACACCTGGTACATAATTACAATCACTTATTAACCAAGTTTTTCACCAAAAGAAAAAGTTGCTAAGAGTTAACAGTGTAACACGTAGTTGAGACTACTAAGAAAACAGTTCTACATGCAAGGCCTATCAGGAAAGTAGAATGTACTTTTGGTAAAAGATTATAAGAAGACATGGGAATGTGAATTTCTTGTCTACATTTAGAGGGTTAAAGGATTGTTTTATGTGAGATAGAAAAATATATATAAAGGTTTGAACAAGTTGTGGAAAGTTTATAAAAAATTAATTGTAAAGAGATTCTGCGTGCAAACATATTGGCTAAAGTTAAAGGGGTATTATTCAGTTCTTCCATAAATTGAACATAGAAATAAAAGCACAACAAGTGTTACTTACAGCACTGATCTGCTCTTTAAAAAAATTGTAAAAGGTTATAAAAGGTTTATAAGAACCTTACCTTATGGTCAAACTGATTAAGATTGAATATATTTGTCGACAAGGTTTTATTAAGAATTGAATTTGACATCAATAATGCACTAACACAAAAGTGAAATTTGTATTATTTGGTATAAAAATGATACAGGAACTATTGTCAAATATTAAATGGTGTTTGGCTTTCTTTGGGCTGTATTTGTATAAATATGTTATTGGTATGTATTCCAAAATAATGGGAAACTCCTATAATTCTGATAAGACACAGTGTATATTATCAGTAATAATTGTAATTGTTACATAAAATCATTGTATGCCACAGATGTAACCAAATTTCTTTGTCAATCATGTTTTTGACTATGGTTGCCCTAAGACATTTTGTCATTCACAGACAATTGTTGTCTTGTTTTGGTCCCCTTCAAAAGGAGGTTTTAAAATCAGCTACAGGAATTTGACAGGTGATCCTGAATGCAGGTTTCTGATAACATTGGAGATTATAACAGTAAAATAGAGGAAAAAACTTAGAGGAATCTCAGGCACAGCTGAAATGTTCCTGAACATCAAACAGGGGTTAAACTGCATGGACTAAATTAAGATAGAAGTCTAAAGTAATCTTTTTGACTCTTTGCTTAAAATGTTGCTGATCCTTTGTTTTGTTTTTCAGAGTTAAGGAAACTTTTGAGCTATAGACAGCTTTTTTTTTTTTTTTTTGAGATGGAGTCTTGCTCTGTCACCCAGGCTGGAGTGCAGTGGCATGATCTCGGCTCACTGCAAGCTCCTCATCCCGGGTTCACGCCATTCTCCTGCCTCAGCCTCCTGAGTAGCTGGGACTACAGGCGCCCACCACCATGTCCGGATAATTTTTTGTATTTTTAGTAGAGACGGGGCTTCACCGTGTTAGCCAGGATGGTCTCAATCTCCTGACCTCGTGATCCACTCACCTGGGCCTGCCAAAGTGCTGGGATTACAGGCATGAGCCACTGCACCCGGCCTAGACAGCTTTTAACAATCAAGTAAAGTATACTCCTGTGAACCAAATTTGAGGCATATTTGTTTCTCTCCACCTGATTTCTCCAAAATTGGAAAACAAGCCGTGGGTATTCTTAACTTATGGCAATATAGTTATTGCATAAGTGCAATAAGAATATTTTCTCTTTTGTAACAGGACACAATTGGAGAAACTGGTTATTTTACCAAGGCTTTGACTGGAATGGCACACTTTCCTTTACGGAATCAAACTTGACTTATAAAGCCAATAAAAGACCCTTAAGAAAAATGGCCTCATACCTTGCCCATACAATCTCTATCCAGAGTTGCTAACCTGTGGTAAGTAAAGAATGTCACTTTCTGACAGGCCCGGGAGCCCCAAGTTATCCTGGGACCTCAAGAGGAGAGGAATTTACCTAACTTATAGGTATTTAAGGGTACAAACCCATGACCAGACTTGGCTTTAAAAAAAAGAAAAATTTTATCTGATATTCCTTTTATGGAACAAAGTTCCATCAAAGCCAATTTAAAAAGCCTCTATAAAATAATCATTCTTGGATTTGATGGCAAGATGGCCAAATAGGAACAGCCCTGGTCTGCAGCTCCCAGTGAGACCGATGCAGAAGGTGGGTGATTTCTGCATTTCCAACTGAGTACCCAGTTCATCTCATTGGGACTGGGTGGACAGTGGGTGCAGCCCATGGATTGCGAGCCAAAGCAGGCTGGGGCATCGCCTCACCCAGGAAGTGCAAGGGGTTGAGGAATTCTCTCCTGAACTCAAGGGAAGCCATGAGGGACTGTGCTGTGAGGAATGGTGCACTCTGGCCCAGACACTGCACTTTTTCTAAGACCTTCGCAACCCGCAGACCAGGAGATTCCCTCCAGTGCCTATGCCATCAGGGCCCAGGGTTTCAAGCACAAAACTGGGCAGCTGGTTGGGCAGACACCAAGCTAGCTGCGGGAGATTTTTTTTTTTCCATATCCCAATGGCAACTGGAATTCCAGCAAGACAAAACCATTCACTCCCCTGGAAAGGGGGCTGAAGCCAGGGAGCCAAGTGGTCTGCCTCAGTGGGTCTCACCTCCACAGAGCCCAGCAAGCCAAGATCCACTAGCCTGAAATTTTTGCTGCCAGCACAGCAGTCTGAGGTTGACCTGGGATGCTCGAGCTTGATCGCGGGAGGGGCATCCACCACTGCTGAGGCTTAAGTAGGCAGTTTTATCCTCACAGTGTAAACGAAGTTCGAACTGGGTGGAGCCCACCACAGCTAAGCAAGGCTGCTGTGGCCAGACTGCCTCTCTAGATTCCTCCTCTCTGAACAGAAAAAAAGGCAGCTGCCCTGGTTAGGGGATTATAGATAAAACCCTCATCTCCCTGGGACAGAGCAGCTGGGAGGAAGGGGTGGCTATGGGCACAGCTTCAGCAGACTTAAACATCCCTGCCTGATGGCTCTGAGAGCAGCAGATCTCGAAGCACAGCGTTTGAGTCTCTGCTAAGGGTCAGACTGCCTCCTCAACTGGGTGCCTGACCTCTGTGTATCCTGACTGGGAGACATCTCCGAGTAGGGGTCGACAGACACCTCATACAGGAGAGCTGTGGCTGGCATCCGGTGGGTGCCCCTCTGGGACGAAGCTTCCAGAGGAAGGAACAGGCGGCAATATCTTTGCTGTTCTGCCATCTCCATTGGTGATACCCAGGCAAACAGGGTCTGGAGTAGAACTCCAGAAAACTCCAGCAGACCTGCAGCAGAGTGGCCTGTTACAAAGAAAACTAACAAACAGAAAGGGATAGCATCAACATCAACAAAAAGGACATCTACTCAGAGACACCATCCAAAAGTCACCAACATCAAAGAGCAAAGGTAGATAAATTCACAAAGATGGGGAGAAACCAGCGTAAAAAGGCTGAAAATTCCAAAAACCAGAACATCTCTTCTACTCCAAAGGATCACAACTCCTCATCAGAAAGGTAACAAAACTGGATGGAGAATGAGTTTGATGAATTGACGGAAGTACACTTCAGAAGGTGGGTAATAACAAACTCCTCTGAGCTAAAGGAGCATGTTCTAACCCAATGCGAGGAAGCTAAAAACCTTGCAAGAAGGTGAGACGAATTGTTAAATAGAATAACCAGTTTAGAAAAGAACATAAATGACCTGATGGAGCTGAAAAACACAGCACAAGAATTTCATGAAGCATATACAAGTATCAATAGCCAAATTGATCAAGTGGAAGAAAGGAATATCAGAGATTGAAGATCAACTTAATGAAATTAAGCGAGAAGAGAAAATGAGAGAAAAAAATGAAAATGAATGAACAAAGCCTCCAAGAAATATGGAACTGTGTAAAAAGAACAAATCTACGTTTGTTAGGTGTACCTGAAAGTGATGGGGAGAATAGAACCAAGTTGGAAAACACTCTTCAGGATATTATCCAGGATAACTTCCCCAACATAGCAAGACAGGCCAACACTCAAATTCAGGAAATACAGAGAACACCACAAAGATACTACTCGAGAAGAGAAACCCCAAGACACATAATCCTCAGATTCACCAAGGATGACATGAAGGAAAAAATGTTAAGGGCAGCCAGAGGGAAAAGTCGCATTATCCACAAAGGGAAGCCCATCAGACTAACAGCAGATCTCTCTACAGAAACCCTACAAGCAAGAAGAGAGTGAGGACCAATATTCAACATTCTTAAAGAAAAGTATTTTCAACACAGAATTTCATATCCAGCCAAACTAAGTTTCATAAGCAAAAGAGAAATAAAATCCATTAAAGACAATCAAATGCGGAGAGATTTTGTTACCACCAAGCCTGCCTTATAAGAGCTCCTGAAGGAAACACTAAACATGGAAAGGAACAATCAGTACCAACCACTGCAAAAACATACCAAATTGTAAAGTCCATCAACTCTATGAAGAAACTGCACCAACTAAGGGGCAAAATAAGCACCTAGCATCATAATGACAGGATCAAGTTCACACATAACAATATTAACCTTAAATTTAAACAGGCTAAATGCCCCAATTAAAAGACACAGACTGGAAAAATGGATAAAGAGTCAAGACCCATTGGTGTGTTGTATTCAGGAGACCCATCTCACGTGCAAAGACACACATAGGCTCAAAATAAAGGGATGGAGGAAGATTTACCAAGCAAATTGAAAGCAAAAACAAGCAGAGGTTGCAATCCTAGTCTCTGATAAAACAGACTTTAAACAACAAAGGTCAAAAGAGACAAAGAGGGTATTACATAATGGTAAAGGGATCAATGCAACAAGAAGAGCTAATTATCCTAAATATATATGCACCCAATACAGGAGCACCCAGATTCCTAAAGCAAATTCTTAGAGACCTACAAAGAGACTTAGACTCCCACACAATAATAGTGGGAGACTTTAACACCCCACTGTCAATATTACACAGATCAATGACACAGAAAATTAACAAGGATATTCAGGACTTGAATTCAGCTCTGGACCAAGTGGACCTAAAAGACATTTACAGAACTGTCCACCCCAAATCAAAAGAATATACATTCTTCTCAGCACCTCATCTGACTTATTCTAAAATTGACCACATAATTGGAAGTAAAACACTCTTCAGCAAATGCAAAACAATGGAAATCATAGCAAACAGTCTCTCAGACCACAGTGCAATCAAACTAGAACTCAGGATTAAAAGCTAACTCAAAACCGCACAACTACATGGAAACTGAACAATCTGCTCCTGAATGAATACTGGGTAAATAACGAAATGAAGGCAGAAATAAAGATGTTCTTTGAAACCAATGAGAACAAAAACACAATGTAGTAGAATCTCTGGGACATATTTAAAGCAGTGTGTAGAGAAAAATTTATAGTACTAAATGGCCACAAGAGAAAGTAGGAAAGATCTAAAATTGACACCCTAACCTCAAAATTAAAAGAACTAGAGAAGCAACAGCAAACAAATTCAAGAGCTAGCAGAAGACAAGAAATAACTAAGATCAGAGCAGAAATGAAGGAGATAGAGACACAAAAAAACCTTTCAAAAAATCAATGAATCCAGGAGCTGCTTTTTTGAAAAGATCAACAAAATAGACCACTAACCAGACTAATAAAGAAGAAAAGAGAGAAGGATCAAATACATGCAATAAAAAATGATAAAGGGGATATCACCACTGATCCCACAAAAATACAAACTACCATCAGAGAATACTATAAATGCCTCTACAGAAATAAACTAGAAAATCTAGAAGAAATGGATAAATTCCTGGCCACATACACCTTTCCAAGTCTAAACCAGGAAGAAGTTGAATCCCTGAATAGACCAATAACAAGTTCTGAAATTGAGGCAGCAATTAATAGCCTACCAACCAAAAAACATCCAGGACCAGATGGATTCACAGCCAAATTCTACCAGAGGTACAAAGAGGAGCTGGTACCATTCCTTCTGAAACTATTGCAAACAATAGAAAAGAAGGAATCCTCCCTAACTCATTTATTGAGGCCAGAATAATCCTGATACCAAAACATGGCAGAGACACAACAAAAACAGAAAATTTCAGGCCAATATCCCTGATAAACATTGATGCAAAAATCCTCAATAAAATACTGGTAAACTGAATCCAGAAGCACATCAAAAAGCTTATCCACCATGATCAAGTTGGCTTCATCCCTGGGATGCAAGGCTGGTTCAATATATGCAAATCAATAAATGTAATCCATCACATAAACAGAGCCAATGACCAAAAAAAAGCACATAATTAGCTCAATAGATGCAGAAAAGGCCTTTGACAACACCCTTCATGCTAAACACTCTCCATAAACTAGGTATTGATGGAACGCATCTCAAAATTATAAGAGCTCTTTATGACCAACCCACAGCCAGTATCATGCTGAATGGGCAAAAACTGGAAGCATTCCCTTTGAAAACTGGCATAAGGCAAGGATGCCCTCTCTTACCACTCCTATTCAACATAGTATTGGAAGTTCTGGCCAGGGCAATCAGGCAAGAGAAAGATATAAAGGGTATTCAAATAGGAAAAGAGAAAGTCAAATTGTCTCTGTTTGCAGATGGCATGATTATTTAGAAAACCCCATCGTCTCAGCCCAAAATCTCCTTAAGCTGATAAGCAACTTCAGCAAAGTCTCAGGATACAAAATCAATGTGCAAAAATCATAAGCATTCCTATACACCAATAACAGACAAACAGAGCCAAATCATGAGTGAACTCCTATTCATAATTGCCAGAAAGAGAATAAAATATCTAGGAATACAACTGACAAGAAATGTGAAGGACTTCTTCAAGGAGTACTACAAACCACTGCTCAAGGAAATAAGAGAGGACACAAATAAATGGAAATACATTCCATGCTCATGGATAGGAAGAATCAGTATCGTGAAAATGACCATACTGCCCAAAGTAATTTATAGATTCCATGCTATCCCCATTAAGCTACCATTGACTTTCTTCTCAGTATTGGAAAAAACTACTTTAAATTTCATATGGAACCAAAAGGAGCCCGCATTGCCAAGACAATCCTAAGCAAAAAGAAAAAAAGCTGGAGGCATCAGGCTACCTGACTTCAAACTATACTACAAGGCTACAGTAACAAAAACAGCATGGTGCTGGTACCAAAACAGATGTATAGACCAATGGAACAGAACAGAGGCCTCAGAAATAACACCACGCATCTACAACCATCAGATCTTTGATAAACCTGACAAAAGCAATGGGGAAAGATTCCCTATTTAATAAATGGTTTTGGGAAAACTGGCTAGCCATATGGAGAAAACTGAAACTGGATATCTTCCTTATACCTTAAACAAAAATTAACTCAAGATGAATTAAACACTTAAACATAAGACTTAAAACCATAAAAACCCCAGAAGAAAACCTAGGCAGTATCATTCAGGACATAGGCATGGGGAAAGACTTTATGATTAAAACACCAAAAGCAATGGCAACAAAAGCCAGAATTGACAAATGGGATCTAATTAAACTAAAGAGCTTCTGCACAGCAAAAGAAACTATCATCAGAGTGAACAGGCAAACTACAGAATGGGAGAATAATTTTGCAATCTATCCATCTGACAAAGGGCTAATATCCAGAATCTACAAATAACTTAAACAAATTTACAATAAAAAAAAATAACCCCATCAAAAAGTGGGTGAAGGATATAAACAGACACTTCTCAAAAGAAGACATTTATGCAGCCAACAAACATATGAAAAACAAAAAACCTCGTCATCACTGGTCATTAGAGAAATGCAAATCAAAACCACAATGAGATACCATCTCACGCCAGTTAGAATGGTGATGATTAAAAAGTCAGGAAAAACACAGATGTTGGAGAGGATGTGGAGAAATAGGAATGCTTTTACACTGTTGGGAGTGTAAATTAGTTCAACCACTGTGAAAGACAGTGTGGCGATTACTCAAGTATCTAGAACCAGAAATACCATTTGACCCAGCAATCCCATTACTGGGTATATACCCAAAGGATTATAAATCATTCTACTATAAAGACACATGCACACGTATGTGTATTGCGGCACTCTTCACAATAGCAAAGACTTGGAACCAGCCCAAATGCCCATCAATGACAGACTCGGTAAAGAAAATGTGGCATATATACACCATGGGATACTATGCAGCCATAAAAAAGAATGAGTTAATGTCCTTTGCAGGGACATGGATGAAGCTGGAAACCATCATTCTCAGCAAACTAACACACGAACTGAAAACCAAACACCACATGTTCTCACTCATAAGTAGGAGGTGAACAATGAGAACACATGGACACAGGCAGGAGAACATCACACACCAGGGCCTGTCATGGGGTGGGGCGCTAGGGGAGGGATAGCACTAGGAGAAATACCTAATGTAGATGAAGGGGTGATTGATGCTGCAAACCAACAGGGCACAAGTATACCTATGTAACAAACCTGCACACTCTGCACATGTACCCCAGAACTTAAAGTATCATAAAAAATTATTATTATTCGTGCTGCACTTTATACAGATAATCAGGCCAAATATAATAAAGCAAATTGGTCGTACTATGATTTGTCTTTATTAAAAATGGGAGACTGGAGAGAGAAAAAAATATGTTTCAAGAAATATGGTACACATGTTATTAGATGCTAGTCTCATCAGTTGTTTTCGAGTTTTTTATACAATTTAGACTAACCCTGCTTATTCCTGTGTTCAACCAGTGATCTCTGGCTGCTGCTCAGAAGAAACAAGAGGGATGGATCTCACCTTTTGTTGGTACTGAAGAGTTATGTATTGCCCTGACCATACCTACACTTTCTGACTGAGCTCCTCTCTACCCTGAATGCAAGAGACCCAATAGTTAGGCAGCAATATTATTGCCCCTGTTCAGCCTGAAGTTACAGAAGATGGATCTTCATCCCTCTCAAACCCTTAGGATTAAGGGTTCTCTTATAAAAGGGAGGGGGATAATGTCAGAGGCATTTGAATCAGAGTGCCTCCATCTTAAGTAGTGGTTGGGTAAAATAAGGCTGAGACATGCTGGGCTGCATTCCCAGTTAAGTTGCTCATTCTAACTCACAGGATTAGATAGGAGGTCGACACAAGATACAGGTCATAAAGACCTTGCTGATAAAACAGCATGCAGTAAAGAAGCCAGCTAAATCCCACCAAAACCAAGATGGTGAAAAGAGTGACCTTTGGTCATCCTCACTGATACACTCCCACCAGTGCCACAACAGCTTACAAATGCCATGGCAATGTCATAAAGTTATCCTATATGGTCTAAAAATGGAAGGAATTCTCAGTTCTAAGAAATGCCAGAAAACGCATGAATAATCCACCCCTTGTTTAGTATATAATCAAGAAATAACTGTAAAAATGGACAACCAACAGCCCCTAGGGCTGCTCTGTCTATGGAGTAGCCATTCTTTATTCCTTTATTTTCTTAATAAACTTGCTTTCACTTACAAAATAAAAATGTTACTACTTGTTGATAAGGCACCTGTCACCCAAGAGCTCTGATGGAGATGCACAAGGAAATTAGTGTTATTTTCATGCCTGCTAATACAACACCCATTCTGAAGCCCATGGTTCAAAGACTAATTTCAACTTTCAAGTCTTAGTTTAAAAATACATTTTGTAAGGCTATGGCCACCATACAGAGTGACTCCTCTGGGATCTGGGCAAAGTAAATTTAAAACCTTCTGGAAAGGCTATACCATTATAGATATCATTAGAACATTCATGATTCATGGGAAGATGTCAAAAGATGAACACAAACAGAAGTTTGAAAAAGGTTGATTCCATTCCTCATGAATTGAGGGGTTCAAGATTTCAGAAGAGGAAATAACTGCATGTATGGTGGAAACAGCAAAATAACTAGAATTAGAAGTGGGACCTGAAGATGTCTGAATTGCTAAAATTTCATGATTAAACTTGAAAGGATGAGGAGTTGATTCTTGTGGATGAGCAAAGAAAGTGGTTTCTTGAAATGGGATTTACTCCTGGTGAAGATGCTGTGAACACTGCTGAAGTAACAACAAGGGATTTCAAATATTAGATAAACTTAGATGATAAAACAGTTGTAGGGTTAGGGAGGATTAACCCCATTTTTAAAGAAGTTCTATTGTGGGTCAAGTGCTATCAAGCCACATCAGATGCCACAGAGAAATCTCATGAAAGGAAGGGTCAATCAATGTGGTTAATTTCATTGTTGTCTTATTTTAAGAAATTTCCAGAGCCACCCCAACCTTTAGTAACCAAAATTCTGACTATTCAGCAGCCACCAACATCAAAGCAAGACCCTCCAGGAGAAAAAGAAGACTCACTGAAAGCTCAAATGATTGTTAGCAGTTTTTTTTAGCAATTCAGTATTTTTAATTAAGCCATTTACGTTGTTTTATTCAGACATAATGCTATCGCACACTTAATAGACTATAGTATAGTCTAAACATATTTTTTATGTACTGGGAAATCAAAAAAACTCATGTGACTCGCTTTATTGCAATCTTAGTTTTACTGCAGTGGTATGTAACCAAACCAAGCCATATTGCCAAGGTATGCCTTTATTAATTTCTCAGTGAAGCCTTCCCCATTAACATTATTTGGAATTGATTCACTATCCACTCTAAACTCTCAATCCTTTTACCTCTTGTTTGTCCCCATGGAATTTAAAAATGCTTGATTTTCCTTCTTCCTCTATTAATCTGTCAATCTACCTCTTCATTTATTAAATGTCTTATACTTGAAATGAAGCTCTATAAACAAGAATATTTACTGTATCACAGCATATATTATTCATTAATTAATAATTAATATTAACAATATTTAATTAATAAATGATAATTAATAACAATAAATTAATATTTAGTTAATAAATTATATTATTAATTAACATTAATATTAAGCTCTATGAAACAAGAATATTTACTGTATCACAAGTCCCTGGAAGAGTGCTTAATACATAAGATAGTCTCAATACATATTTGTTAATTGATTGAAAAGATTAATCCTATCTTGTTACCAAGATCTTCCCATGTTTAAAAAAACCATATAACATTTCTAATATTTTCATAGGACTCTAGTCAGCTGATATATCAAAATTAACTAAACTCCACTTTTCTTTCCATTTAGGACATTTTGGAGTTTTTATTACTTTTTTAATGAAGTCCTTGATGTTTAAGTTTTGGTATCAATAATAGCCTTAGGATGATCTTAGAAGCAGAATTCTAGGGTCAAATGGCATGAATGCTTGAAACATTTTGCCAACCTGCCCTTAAGAAACACTGATATAAATTTATACTTTCAACACAATGTATGAGGCTCCTCAATTTTCCACACTCTCAACAATGTTTATATCTATTTTCTTTTTAAATTTGTTGAGCATACCCCTGCCCCCAACCCATGACTAAAAACAGGTCAATGTGAGAGATAAAGTGATGCTTAAATACTTTTCCACTTAACAATTTCACTTACCGGAGTTGGATCAATCACAAAATCAATTACATATCCATGAATTAAAACTTGGTGTAATAAGAAAAGACTGCTTTATAATGTGATAAGCCTCATTTAATTATTTCTTCATTAGACAATTCTAACGTGTTTTATTAGTCACACAACACTAAAGGGTATACAATATACTGAGTCTAGATGTACTATTTCCTTCTTTAATTTAGACTAATGAAAATGAGTTTTATCCCTCTTAAGTATATTCCAAAAAACTTTACTTATAAATAAAACCATTTTCATATTTCTAAATAAAGATGTAAAATAATTTGAAATAAATACATGGCTATAACATGAGTTATTGAATGTCTTATAAGTTCCATAAATCCCATGAGATTACAATTATTCACATATGCATCAACTTCAGTTCTTAACACTTTTACCTACAAATGTAAGATATCCAGTAATCAATTTTAATTTTCCAATAATTCTCTATATAGATAGAAAGAAAACGATGTGCGTTTTTTAAGTTCAATGAGGCACAGCATTCTTTCTAGTAATGTCATGACCCAAGTAACAAATATGCATATCATGTTCTCCAAATTAAGTCAGACAATGTTATAGTTTTATTTATGTGTACACACATATATACATATAACAATACTAAATAATTTTATCTGATGTATAAGAAATTCTGCATCCAACCAAAAAAGGTCTTTCCATTGCTATTAAAGCAAAACAAAATTACCAATGTTTAAAAGAGAAATAATAGGGTAAAGAAACTTCTTTTCTTATTTTGTTACTAAGAACATTATGATATGAAAGGCCATCATTCATAAGATAAACATTCCCCACACCATATAACAAATAGAATTATTATCACTGAATCTTTTGATTATACAATGATGTTTTAAAAATCAAATGATGTCATGTATTAGTTGTCCCTAGCAAAAGTTAGGGTGTAAATTACAAACAGAAACAGGCTATTTTCATTTTAAAGCAAAAACAATATTAATATGTATATATTAATATTAAAAAGAATAGACAATTTTTTGGTTATATTGATCAAAAAAAACGTAAAACTCTATTTAAAAATTAGGAATCTATTTAGAGACTTGATAATATCGCACTTAAATCTTGTCCTTGATTAGATCAATGTAACAGAGTCTAGACAAAGGAAAGTTAATCTTCAATTACCAGAATACGGCATGATATTAATTGAATTGGCCCTGGGCACCTACTAAATCTATTTTAGAGCAAAATTTTGGATGGTATACCTTAAGGTAGCAGATTAAATTTAAAAGGATAATTCCATAATTACTACAATATCTACATGTCAGAAGATACAAAATTTCATATATCATGGTATCAGATAATAGCTTCAGAGGTCCATATGGCTTTTTCCAATGTGTTGATAATAGAGGCACATGGGGTTTCTGTTATTATCCCTTTGAAGTATGGGCCACTTTAAGATGCACGATAGCAAACTTCATGAATTACTGGTATTAACCAACATGATAAACTCTTTTCATTTCACAAGCTGTCTACTCTGCAGTTGTACAGTGACTTTGACAGTCACTATGTCTTTGACTTCCAAATAATAACTGTCTTCCAAATGAATACATTTCCCTTACCTCTCAAATTATTTTAGAAGTTAGTGTTGGCTTAACATTAGGAAGAAACATGTTTCATATTATGATAAGATCTTATACTTCAAAGGAGCTTCAAAGGTTCTGAAAATGACTCTGAAATATATTTCTCATTAATCTTTTGTATTCTCATGAGGCAAGTAGGTGGCAAATATCTCAACTGTGAAAAACAGAAACTAATGAAACAATTAGCTAATTTACTTGCCCTATGCTAAATACTGAAGCAATGAAAAGTCATAGTGTCAATCCTGGCACTTAACTGAAACTCTTATTTTGCATTCCATCGGTAAGAATTTTTATGCAGAGGAGAGTAAAGGAATACAGACAAAAAATATCAGGAAATATGATACTCAACATAATTTACTTCATAAGACCCTGAGATTAATATTATTTCTTATTTAATTGATTGTGCTTGATGATGGTGATGGTGCTGAAACTTCAAAGAACTTATTTCCCTGGGTGACCACAGTTGAGTGTAATCAGGGACACACTACAGGAGTTTGAATCCTACTTCACAGCAAAGCTAAAACCTCACAAAATCAACATGGTGTAATAACTCAAGAGAAGAAAAAGAAAATAAAAAGTGAAATTTCAACTTAAAATGGATCTATAAGCTGGCAATATGCCTGATTCTTAAAAGGCAATGAGAAACAAAGCAAACCTCTGGATCTCAGGCTGTCCAAGTATTATTTGCTGGATAAGTTATATTCTCCTGTTTTAGTTTTTCATTAAAAACTTTGGAAAAAAGAGTTTCTTCATTCTGTTTCATTTTTTTCTCCATATTCTCATAAAAATTCATTACAATGGTATGGTTGTTTAGTGGGAATACACCTGTAATTTATTGTTGAAAATGATTGTTCCTGTTCTCTATCTAGTTTTCCTGTGTAAAATAGCATAATAACTGACTTATCTTCATTTCCAGCAAGTGTTACTGCTTTAGAACAAGAATGCTGTTACTGATAGCTAAGACCATCCAAATTTTAAAAATTAAAATTAATTTTGGAATTGTAAATGCTCAAATAAATGTTTATCTTTTTAATATAGCTTCTTTCTTTATATTTGAAAAAAAATAAAAATAATTCTGTACAACTGCCTTGATGTATATCTTCTATATGACTGATTTTCCAAATCAGGGTAAAGTGCCTTTCTCCTCTAACAACTTTAGCATGTTATGAGTTCTGTTTTTTTCCCTAATAGAATGCTGAATGACTTTATTAGCTTTAGTAAAACTGGTAAAATTGTCTTTGGTAAAATTAAGAGACATAACCCACCCTCCCCCAAAATCTTCTTACGTTTGAAAAAAATAACTTAAGTCTTTTACTGAATAAGTATTTTCCTTTTTGGTTTTTGACCTACACACTTAAGAGAGTCAGGGTAAATGCAAATGTTGTTTACAATCACAGTAAGTCCTCACATAACATCATGGATGGTTTCTCGGAAACTGCAACTTTAAGCAAAATGATGTACAACACAGCAGGTCCTCAAATAATGTTGTTTAGTTCAATGTTATTTTGTTACAGCACTGATGAGAAAAATGGTTTTGTTATACATTATTTTGCTTAACTTTTCAGTCTCCAAGAACCTATCAATGATTCTAGATATTTTAATATGGAAACCTTAGAATTTTTTTCCTCATAGCTTTATAAGGACTTCTAGACTTACCTGGCCCATCAGTCACTTTTTCTAGGCACCGAGGAGTTGCACTAAGAAAAGAGGCATGTTTTCTTTTAGCCACTAAACTACGAGGTGGCATATATTTATGCTTAACTTGGGACATCTCATATGATTTGTGAACATCATAGCTGCCTGGCGCTGGAATAACCTGAAAAAAAATTTAATAGATGAGCATAAATATATCTTATACTGAAAATATCCAAGAAGATACCAGATGGATGGTTACAGTAAGCAATGAATAGAAAAATCCTAATACTTTTATTAATTAAACATTAAAAATAGAAACTTAAAAAGGAATTCTTAAATCTAGCCTGCCTAATAAAAATGTAAATTTACTTGCCAAAATTAAAGTAAAATAAACACAAGTATGAACTTTAGGATCATATTCTTTAAAAAATAGCTTTCATGATATAGATCAAATATATTCAATTTAATCCTGAAAATCAAATTGCTTATAAGAATGAGAGCAATGATTACCTGTTTTCCTAAGCAGCAGAACTATTCCTGCTTTATTGTTGTAAGTGAACATTGTTTTACTTATTCTACAAAATGAGACTGCTTATTTCATCTTTAATAGATTACAATTAAGTTAGAAGGCTTCCTCTTTCATCATTTATGGTTCTTTATATGAACTGCAGTCATAGTAACATTTTTAATCAACATGAACCCACATGGATATTAATAAATATAATAATTAATTCTAAACTAAATGAAATATAAGTGCCATATATTTGTTGGACAAGTAATGCCTTAAACAATTAGCTAACTATCTCAGTGAAAACTTTTTTAAACTCATTTTCCTCAAATTATAACATATTCCTTTGAAATCTATTCACCTAGATTATGTATAAAGACAAAAACTTTTTAAGCGTTAATGATTTCCCAGTAGGCAGGAAAGTGTTATGGCTAAGCATGTGGACTCTGGCACTAGACTTCCTAGGTTCCAAATATCTGCTGCTTACTAGCTATGTGACCTTAAGCAAGCCACTTACCCTCTGTGTTCCTGAGTTTTTGCATGTGAAAAGTGAGAAAAATGATAGTACTTATTTTATAATATTATTCTGAGGATTAAATTAGTTAAAATGAGTAAAGTACTTAGCTTGGTACCTGTTTCTATAAAAGGGTTAAGTGAATCTTACTATTCTAGAAAAGCTAATTTCAATGCAAAAACAAAGCCTGACCAATCAGGGTTTGAGCTAACAGGGAAGTATTTTAAAGTTTCAAATAAGTCAAACAAATTTGGATGCTGAGAAAGCATACTTTTGAAGTCCCTCTAGGAGCCATATTTTAGAAAACACATTTTTTCTTGTTCCTTACATCCATATTATCACCCTCAAGCATATGCTAACAACATTATCTTCCACTTCCAAAGAATCACAAAATATGGTAAGATCATGACTAGGGGAGGGGATTCTTACATGAAAACCCCACTTCTGGTTTGAGTCCCATGTTAAACATGAAATGTCATGATAGGTAAGTCATCAAAGAAATGCTGGACACCATTTTCTTTTTGTCTGCATCAAGAGTATATACAGTAAAACTAGGCTGAAAATAAGCAACAGAGGCAATATTTCCATGGATTATTTGTGTATCTTTTGGGGCTGCCTCTATGGTATGTGAAAAGAAACCGGAAGAGATTATAAAAACACAAAGAGATCCTGTGCATACAATATGCCTAGTGTAAATAGGAAAGCTTTGCGAAGATCTTGATTGTGCCTACTATACACTTTAGTTTTCTTATCAGAAGACATTATTGTTCCCATTTCCTGTAACACCCTACGTGGTGTCACCATCTATTTCTTCTTCCAGTGCCTAGACTGGATATAATTGATAAGTTTGGCTACTGCCACACAGAAACTATTTTTTTTAATAACTTGAAGCAAAGACAAGAAACTGCATCAGTGATCAGTGTTCTTCAACAATAGTTTGTTCACACCTGGAAAAGTTTGTCAAACTAGTTCCTTAAATTCCAGTAGATTCACTGCCTCTCTTACCAATCCAATGTATACTACCCTTGTTCATGACCACCTGCTGCTATGTATATTTATTCTTCTCTGAAACTTATTCCCTTCTTGTCTACTTTACTGATGTTCCCTCCTCTTCCTACTCATCTTAAATTCTAATTTTATCTGACCAAGAGATTAACATTTCAAGTAAATATCCTAAGCTGATGATTAATAGGACAAATCTGAAACTCTGTCTAATAACAATAATTTAAACAACACCTATATACCATATAGTACCCTAAATGAGCTGAATACCATTGTCAGGGAAAAATAGTATTTGTAGATGAGATCATCAAATTTGTTGGCGATTCTTTATACATCATAGAAAATAAAGAAGGGACATGAAGAATGGATATAATAGACATTTCTCATGGTTTTTTGGTGGTTTTTTTTTTCTCTTTTTGGCTTATTGCATGACTTTTTTCTCATACCAATATTTAAATCCTGTTCTTGCATTTGGGAAATTCCACATTATACAGCAGAGAATCTGGGTCCCAACACAAAAGCTAAAAATGTCTGGCTCTCATCTTCCTGGTCTCATTTTTTAGCTAGAACATGAATCCTGGTCATAGGCTTAGTGTCCTGACTTCCTCATCTGGAAAACCAAAGCCCTACCCTAAAATAACATAAAGAAGCATAGAATTTGTATGATTAATGTGCATAAAATTCTTAAAATGTTTTCTGACACATAAGGAGTAGCAGTGTTGGCTTTCATTGCTATCATCATTGCCATTGGCATTAATATCTTTATTGGGTATAGGACTTACGAACCCCTCAGTGATATCTCCCTTGCCTGAAGAGAGATGCTAATGGGATATCAAAACGGAATTCCCTAGTATTTTAAGCTACAAACAAATCAAAAGTAGTTAAGTTGTTGAGAATCACATAAAGACAGTGTTCCAGGAAGTTTAAAAAGAATTCACTGGTTTCAACCTACTTCAAAGGAAGGTGGGTCAGCCTGTTTGTATTTTGGCAAAACCATTTCACATACTTTGTGATTTTATTCATTTCTGTCAAGTCAAAGTCTCTATAAAATTCTACTTGCTCAATACCCATGCAATAACTCACTTAAAACTCAAGCCTGACTGACCTGTAACCCCAGAGACCAAGAGATTAACATTTCTTGGTCTGATTTCATACAAAATTCAGAATTTGTATGAAAAGGATTCAGAATTTCCAACTGAATGAAATTGGAAAAACTGTGAATTTGTATGAAATCGTGAGGTTTCAGGAGGTATGAAACCTCCTGATTTCATACAAATTCAGAATTTTTCCAGAATCAAGAGGTTTCAGGAGGCATGAAACCTCCTAATTTCATACAAATTCAGAATTTTTCAATTTCATTCAAGGCTCACTGCTATTTTGACATATGAAATTTCGTATACTCTCTGATCTCAGACATGTGAAACTGCATGTAGGTTCTGATCTTCAAAAACTTTGGTTACAAAACAGCAACAAGTAAACCCCTCAGCCACAGAAAGGAATGGAGCAATGGAGCATTCAATCCCTAAATTGTCTCCCATGTTGTAGCATATTGCAAATAAAGATTGACCTCAAGTTTTAGTCTCAGAAAAAAATTTTCCTTTACCATGCAATGGTAAAAGATCCAGACATATTTTTATTTCATATTCATTTTTGAATAATAGTTTTACTAAATATAGATTTTTTTGCTTGAAATTTTTTACTCTCAGCCTTTTGCATGTCTTTTCACTAATTTCTGACCTCCACTGATTCTGATGAGAAGCCTACAATTAGTGATACTGTTTCCACTATATAAGTTTCCTTTTTCTTGTTGCTTTCAAGATGTCACCTTTGTTCTCTTTCACTAGTTTGACTATAATGTATCTAAGTGTGAATTCTCCTTAAATGTATTCACCTTGGAGTTCACTGAACTTCATGGATTCATGGATATAGTGGTTTTTTTTATTACATTTGGAGAGTTTTCAGCAATTATATCTTCAAATATTTTTTCTGCTCCTTTCTTTCTCACCTCTCCTTCTGGGTCTTTTATTATCCATATGCTAAAATACTTGACATTGACCCACAGGTCTCAAACTACTCGTATTGTTCAATCCTGTTCTGTGTTTCTCATATTCAATGATTTCTATTGATCTATCTTTCAGTTAATTAATTATGTCTTCTGCCCTCTCAAATCTCCTGAGTCAAGTTAGTAAATTTTTTATTTATGTTTTTGTACTTTACAACTCTAGAATTATTTTTGTTCTTTTGTTTCTTTGCTTGCTTCTATTATCTATTAAGATTCTCTATTGGCTCACTGCTAGCATGTTTTTCTTTAATTATTTAATCATAAGTTCCATTAATTCTTTGAAAAAAAATTAATAGCTGATATTTACATATCTAATAAGTTTTTTTTTTGAAAAGTGGACATTTTAAGATAAGATAGCAACTCTGGATTTTTTTTCTTTAATGAGATTTGTTGTCCATTTCACCTAAGTTTTCAAATTTCAAACTTGTTAATAATGCAAACTGTTTGCCTTTTGCTTTCAGAATCTGTAGAGATGTCCTTATTTTCATTTCTGAAATTTTTCATTTAAGCCATTTCTCATTTTTTCTTAGTAAGCAACATTATAAGGTGGTTTATTCTATTCGATCTCTTAAGATAGAATAGATCTATCTAAATAAATAGAATAGGTTTATCTTTACATTTGAATTTGTCTTTTTCTCCTTAAAGTTATTTACGTCAATATTTGCTTTGCATATATGTGGAGCTGTGCATACAAATTTAAATTATCATATTATTCTGGTTAATTAAACATTTTAAAACTATTGACCGACCATGACTATTTACTTCTAAATTGCTTTTTGTTTTAACATATTTTATCTGGAATCAAAATAGCTACACCAATGAGTAAGTCTTGATAAACTATTACTGATAAACAGTACATTTTGATAAACCTCTGCATTAAATTTCAGAAATAGTAAAATTTTAAAATTATTGTTTGAAAGATAACAGAGATTGGTAATAATAGGAGGATTTTTATGCTAAATTCCAAAAAGTAGAAGAGACCTTCCTATGTAAATTGAGATTACAAGCTGTGTTCCATTTGCATAGCCATTTACTAAGTCTGGGCAAGGACTAAAGACTGGTATTGTCACAGATTATTCTAAGAGAAAAAGAAAGAATTTGTGGGTCTTTTGAAAGTCACATAGTACAGCATGACTATGAGAGAATAAAGGCTGAGAGAAGGCAGCCTGAACTTCTGAACCTGAACCTCAGCCTGAACTCAGAGGAGCCTGAACTCAGCATCACTGATTCTTTACTATGAAGTATTTATTGAATACTGAAGCAGGCCAAAGGATAGAGGTCTGGACTGGAAAGACAGAGTAAAATCTCCTGTAATCTAGTGATGCCTAGGAGACAAAGTCACACTAGAGCAATGACTGACAACAACTACAAGCTTCTTACTCAAGATAGTTGCCATATTTTGAATCTAAATGAGATACAAAGCTAAAGTAGAAAACACTGAAGGGTGGAATATACGGGAAAGAAGGGAAAAGGAACTTCAGACTCTCAATCAAAAAACCAGGAAGGCCACTGGGTGTGGTGGCTCATGCCTGTAATCCCAGCACTTTGGGAGGCCGAGGCGGTTGGATCACGAGATCAGGAGTTCGAGACCAGCCTGACCAACATGGTGAAACCCCATCTCTACTAAAAATACAAAAATTAGCCAGGCGTGGTGGCATGTGCCTGTAATCCCAGCTACTCAGGAGGCTGAGGCAGGAGAATCGCTTGAACCCAGGAGGCAGAGGTTGCAGTGAGCCGAGACGGTGCCACTGCACTCCAGACTGGCAACAGTGTGAGACTCCACCTCAAAAAAAAAAAAAAAAAAAAAAACACAGGAAGGCAACATGGAGGGCACAGGACCACAAAGGCAGAGTGAAATCTCAGTCTTTGCTTAGGAGACAAACTCTTACTGGAGAGAAGGGCCTGCGAAAATATGCAGTAGGTCTAGGTCTAATAGCAAGAGGTATATGAAAGAAATTCTTGCAATACACTAGAGTTAAAATTCTGAGCAATTAAGCCAGAACTACTTCCTCTTTCAAGTTATGAAATAAATGTTCTTCCATTTCTGTGCATATATATCTTATAACTTGTTCTAGCTGTTATTTCATAGTTAAGTATATTCTAGTCTAAAATTTTATTTCAAATTCTTAAATACATAATTTTAAGTCATATAGAACTTCTTTTACAATGAAACTTGTCATTATCATTGAAGTGACTTAAGAAGACTTCAAACTTTCAATCAAAACTTTCAAGCAAAATCTTTAACCAAATATATATGGTGAAAAAATTTATAGGCTATAAATATAGTTATGTTTGCCTAAATATTCAGAAAACTTTGTTTAAGCAATTTGCCAATCTGCTTATCCAAATTACTTAAATTTGGTTCTATAAAGAAGAAAGGCATTTCAGATGATAATCAAATTATCTTTGTTTTACATGTTGCAAATTATAATTACTAAGGTCATCCTTGCCATTTTAAGCATCTCTAATATTCATCATTGTAAACATATGCCTCGTAAAATACATGACTTAGAAAGGAATGTGTTATTTTGATAGGAAAAAGTATTTTAATATAGATATAAAATTATAGTATTAATTGTAAGTAGTATGTAAAAATGGAAAATACTGACTTTATTTCCATCTTCTCCTGGCACACTGGAAAAGACCATTTAGGCCAATGCTGTTTTATGAAAGGAATTAGAATTGACTGGAAAACATGATACTTCAAAGCTCAGTAAAATAATAACAAAAAGTGCTGATAGTCAAAATCACATAGGGAATAACACAACAGACTTAACCTAATTCCTGCAGCATAACATTATACCAGTCATATTTGAATCACAAAGTTTCAATTGTGTTCTGGACATTTGCACATCATTATCCTCAGATAGCCTTAAAAT
Organism: Homo sapiens; assembly: GCF_000001405.40. Taxonomy (NCBI): domain Eukaryota; kingdom Metazoa; phylum Chordata; class Mammalia; order Primates; family Hominidae; genus Homo; species Homo sapiens. Next base: position 97,847,717 of record NC_000004.12, read on the forward strand.
AAAACTTATTATCTTCCCTTACCTGCAACTACCAAACGATGTGTTCTTTCCTCATTGACTTACAAAAATTCTTTATTTAGCCAAGCCTAAAAATACAAAGCTGGCTTTTACTTTTGTTCACCTTTCTCTCGCATATCTAAAAATGACCAAGGTTATATCTATTGTAACCTCTCTCACCTTAGACTTTTCTGTCCTTTACTACCAAAAAGATCCTGGCATGAGCTCCAAAATACTTATTACGTGGCAGTTGTACTAACTGCTTATTTTAGCTTTAGGTCTTCTAGTCCCCAACCATTTGCATGCTAGTAGCCAATAAACTGTTGTACTAAAAATGACATAAACTGCTAAAAACCCTCATTGGATCCCCAGTGCCTATGGGAAAAACTTTCAGGAAACTCTCCTTGGCATCCAAAGCCTCTTTTCAATTTGAAGGCAAATTTACAACTGTAAAAGCCAGTTCAAGTAGTATCTCTTTCATTAAGCATTCTTGAGAACCCTAGCTAGAAGTGATATCTTACTCTTCTGAATTATTTTATTATTCATTATTTGCATAAATACATAAACATAAATAGCACACTGAACAAATATACCATATATATTTGAAATTTACTACTTTGCTTACATAAGGGCAAGAAAAAGATAAAGCTGTCCGATGAGAAGGAAGACAAAATTTCCTCAGATAAGATTCAATTTACCCTTCAAATTTATCGAGTAATTTTTCCACTATTCTCTCAAATTAGTGAAAAATGACAGTAGGAATCTAGGGGTATACAAGCTCCATAATATCATCAAGTATTTATAGGTCCTTTCATGTTTTTTGCTGCATCGTATTTAGGTTGTGACCCTCATCCTTATATTCTCTCAAGATATTGACTGTAGCTCCTGTCATAATGTTTTTATTTCAAAAATAAAGAAGATCTAATGTTTAAATCTTTAATCCATCGTGAATTGATTTTTGTATAAGGTGTAAAGAAGGGATCCAGTTTCAGCTTTCTACATATGGCTAGCCAGTTTTCCCAGCACCATTTATTAAATAGGGAATCCTTTCCCCATTGCTTGTTTTTCTCAGGTTTGTCAAAGATCAGATAGTTGTAGGTATGCGGCGTTATTTCTGAGGGCTCTGTTCTGTTCCATTGATCTATATCTCTGTTTTGGTACCAGTACCATGCTGTTTTGGTTACTGTAGCCTTGTAGTATAGCTTGAAGTCAGGTAGTGTGATGCCTCCAGCTTTGTTCTTTTGGCTTAGGATTGACTTGGCGATGTGGGCTCTTTTTTGGTTCCATATGAACTTTAAAGTAGTTTTTCCCAATTCTGTGAAGAAAGTCATTGGTAGCTTGATGGGGATGGCATTGAATATGTAAATTACCTTGGGCAGTATGGCCATTTTCACGATATTGATTCTTCCTACCCATGAGCATGGAATGTTCTTCCATTTGTTTGTATCCTCTTTTATTTCCTTGAGCAGTGGTTTGTAGTTCTCCTTGAAGAGGTCCTTCACATCCCTTGTAAGTTGGATTCCTAGGTATTTTATTCTCTTTGAAGCAATTGTGAATGGGAGTTCACTCATGATTAAACGTTAGACCTAAAACCATAAAAACCCTAGAAGAAAACCTAGGCATTACCATTCAGGACATAGGCGTGGGCAAGGACTTCATGTCCAAAACACCAAAAGCAATGGCAACAAAAGCCAAAATTGACAAATAGGATCTCATTAAACTAAAGAGCTTCTGCACAGTGAAAGAAACTACCATCAGAGTGAACAGGCAACCTACAACATGGGAGAAAATTTTCGCAACCTACTCATCTGACAAAGGGCTAATATCCAGAATCTACAATGAACTCAAACAAATTCACAAGAAAAAAACAAACAACCCCATCAAAAAGTGGGCAAAGGACACGAACAGACACTTCTCAAAGGTAGACATTTATGCAGCCAAAAAACACATGAAAAAATGCTCATCATCACTGGCCATCAGAGAAATGCAAATCAAAACCACTATGAGATACCATCTCACACCAGTTAGAATGGCAAGCATTAAAAAGTCAGGAAACAACAGGTGCTGGAGAGGATGTGGAGAAATAGGAACACTTTTACACTGTTGGTGGGACTGTCAACTAGTTGAACCATTGTGGAAGTCAGTGTGGCGACTCCTCAGGGATCTAGAACTAGAAATACCATTTGACCCAGCCATCTCATTACTGGGTATATACCCAAAGGATTATAAATCATGCTGTTATAAAGACACATGCACACGTATGTTTATTGCGGCATTATTCACGATAGCAAAGACTTGGAACCAACCCAAATGTCCAACAATGATAGACTGGATTAAGAAAATGTGGCACATATACATCATGGAATACTATGCAGCCATAAAAAATGATGAGTTCATGTCCTTTGTAGGGACATGGATGAAATTGGAAACCATCATTCTCAGTAAACTATCGCAAGAACAAAAAATCAAACACCGCGTATTCTCACTCATAGGTGGGAATTGAACAATGAGATCACATGGACACAGGAAGGGGAATATCACACTCTGGGGACTGTGGTGGGGAGGGGGGAGGGGGGAGGGAAAGAAAAATAAATAAATAAATAAATAAATAAAGAAGTAGAGCACAGTAAAAAACTAAGACAAAGAGCAAAAAAAGAAAAAAGAAAAAGAAAACTTAATGTATACTTCTTATGATGTTGTAAATACCAACGTATTATTTCCAGAGGTTGAAGTAATTTTACCATTTTTTTTTGTTTTGTTTTTAAAATGTTATACAGAATTTAGCTAAAATTATCTATACTTTATAAATTTTTTCATAAGAAGTATCTAGACTTTATAATGATCTGTATATGCACGTCATTATTTATATTTCTGATCCTCCATTAAAATTTTATTTTCTACTTCTTGCAAAAAATAAAATAAAATAAAGAAGAGAAAGGGTAAAAACCAAAAATTGTTTAACAACTATAAAAGCCTTTTCTGAAGTCTTTTCTGAAAGCCTAATCTAGTAACTTCTATTTTCTTTGCATTGGTTAAAACTGTGCCAAATAACTACCCTCAAGCTGCAAGGGAACCCCAAAAAAGTAGTTGCTTTACTTGGGCACATTGATATTCTAAATAAAATTGGGTTCTGTTAGCAAGAAAGAAAGAATGAATGAATACTGGGTAAGAAACTAATAATCTCAGTCATAATAGCTCTCTGTTTTTGAGGTCATTACAACTGTAAAAAATTAACTCACTTCAGAAACTATGTGTAATATTGAACTATCTTTGTCAAAAGCTTTCTGACCAGGGTTTGTTCATTCACTTTAGTCTCTAATTCTTGTTAATCCTTTGGGTCTCAAATCTTCCCTGAATTCATTAGCTCTTTCAGCTCTGATATGTTCTCAGAATACACAGCTCTTAAGTTTGTAGCAGTTATTACATTTGCAATTAAACAAGTCTCTAATGACGTGTTTAATATCACCCATCACCATAGGAATGAGAGAGCTCCTTGAGTGTTCAGAAAGCCTCTATTTTGCACACCATTGTATCTCCCAGAATGGTAAATGTCTTTGCAAACAGTAAGTGACTGACACATATTTTTAATCAATGAATGAATATGTCAGTTATAAGTGCATGAATGAGTCTAACAGTATCTGTCTACCTTGAGGCTTTCTTTTTGTTTAGCCTTGTTGTTAAGTTCTTCCATGACAGTAGGGCTGACACTATGCCTTGAAAGTATTTTCAACCCATACAATGCTTAAATTTACCTCACATGTAATCAGTTCTATATTCTTTATTTAGCAAAGCCTAAAAATACAAAGCTGGCTTTTACTTTTGTTCACCTTTCTGTGTTGTATAAATATTTTTCAAATATTGCTTTTGCTAAAGATGTTCCTGTTTCTAATAAAGGTGGATACAATTTATAATCTCAGAAACGATATAGAAGTAGAAATATGTCCATTAAAACCTTGATCAAGTACTAACTTTCACAAAATCATTACAGAGTGTCTCCAGGTAGTTAAATTTGATTAATATTTAATGTGAGATGCATTTTCTTCTCTTTGCTATCAAAAAGTAGACTTTGACTTTTAATGCTTAAGTTTTCATGACCACTTTTGACATTAGTTTTATAGAAAAAAATGTGTATCTCAGCATATTAAAGTAAAATACAAGAACAGAAATGGCCTGTATAACCTTTCTCTTCCAGCAAATGCTAATGCTACTGAGGCAGAGAATAAGCAGATTATCTCCAATTATAATAGCTCTAATTGACATAATATCCATTCTTCAGAGTTCTACTTTTAGTCTAAAAGTTAATTCTTTTGCAATGTTGAATGTAAAGACAGAGAAATTCTTTAAAAAGGACATAATTGCTCCTAGTACCAGTTGAACAGATTTGGATATGGCATTAAAAATCACCTTGATAAACTTGAAGTAAATTTTGAACATGAGTTGTGAGAGATGTGTGAATTTAAATAGCAGAGTTAGGAAAATTATTCATTAACCCTAGAGAAATGTCTACAAGTAGGATTCCAATCAATTTATGTTCATACTTTTTAAAATCAAATGAATCTTAACGTCATCTACTTTGGTTCAGTATGGCAAGAACTATCCCTTGTATATAAATAGGGACCATTTTAAGGTAGTGCTACTAAAATACCACAGAACTTGAAGTCAGAATTGCTGGGTTATATTTATAGCCTTATTATTAACTTTAAGAGGCCCTCAAGAACCTCACCTGCTCATTTACACCCCTCACCATGAAGTATGTGGAAGGACACTGTGCACAAGGCATTTCTCTGTATTCTTTATCCTGTGAGATTGTCAGTGAGACGAATTGTAGAACTATTCATATTTGGAAGCTGCCTCCAAAATAGTAAGGGTAATGGTGGGCAGGATGATCCAGCCTTGCTTTTCTAAGTTATAAATATCTCAGCATCCCATTACCTACTTCAAAAACAATTATGTAGTTATATTGAGACTGAGAATAATAATGGTGATAACAGGGAGAAATACACTATGCAAAAGGTAAAGAGAAAGGAGAAAAATCAAGATGAGTAAGACAAGGTATGGAACAAGAAGAAAGGAACATTGTCTAGACAGAGACATATAGATCCCCAATAATATTTACCATACTCCCAAGGTAACTATGTTTTCCATGTTATGACACATAGATTGTAGATCTCAATAGAAAAAGGCAAATTGCACATTTGAATTGTAGGAAATCTAATTATTCTACATTAATGTTCCTATAAATTAACATATTTTCTTTTTTTTTTTTTTTTTTTTTTTTTTTGAGACAGAGTCTCACTCTGTCACCCAGGCTAGAGTGCAGTGGAGCGATCTCGGCTCACTGCAAGCTCTGCCTCCCGGGTTCACGCCATTCCCCTGCCTCATCCTCCTGAGTAGCTGGGACCACAGGCACCCGCCACCGCGCCCAGCTAATTTTTTGTATTTTTTTAGTACAGACGGGGTTTCACCGTGGTCTAGATCTCCTGGCCTCGTGATCCGCCCACCTTGGCCTCCCAAAGTGCTGGGATTACAGGCGTGAGTCACCGCGCCCCGCCAAATAAATATATTTTCTAATGAATGAAATATATTTTCAATACTCCCATCTGTTGCCAGATTTATAGTGCTTATGTGACACCAAAAAATTGTGATAGTTCATGTATACGTATGTAACAAACCTGCACATTCTGCACATGTATCCCAGAACTGAAAGTAAAATAAAAAAATTTTAAAAGAATATTGAAAAAACAGAATTGTGCAAATTAGCTTACATTTCATGTCAAATTCAATAGCACATTTTTTAGTGACACTAAATGTTTCTTGATTAAATAAACAAAAAAAGAATAAAACATTCAATAAAAAGGCTCCAAGGGCACTATTACTATTTCTCAGCATCACACATTTAAAAGCTATAATTATCTAAAAACATCCAAAATACTTTTAACTTCATACGAATCAAAAAGAGATCATCTAAAAAAATTGTGAATATCCTTACTTCTTCCTTCCCTTCTCTTGAAGAATTTGGTAGGCTGTTTCCCCTGTTGTATAAACAAAATGCTACGGAAGTGATACTGTTTTTATTTTTTTATTTAGAAACTGGGTCTCATTCTCTCACCCAGGCTGGAGTGCAGTGACATGATCACAGTTCACTGCATCCTCAGACTCCTGGGCTCGAGAGCTCCTCCCGCCTCAGCCTCCTGAGTAGCTGGAACTACAAGCACAGGCCACCATGCCTAACTAATTTGGGGCTTTTTGTGGGGAGTTTTGTGTGTTTTTTATTGTTGTTGTTTGTTTGTTTTTTAAAGATAACGTCTCATCATCTTCCCCAGGCTGGTCTTGAACTCCTGGGCTCAAGTGATCCTCCTGCCTTAGTTTGCCAAAGTGCTGGGATTATAGGCATGAGCCACTATTCTTAAATGATACTCTATTTTAGCATCCGTCTATCAGCCTAACAACAAACATTTATAGTCTTTCCTATGCACTGGAGTTAATGTCTACCAGTAGTAAAGGTTATGGCCTCTGAAGCTGTGTTGCTGGGGTCAAGCCCCAAGTCAGCTTTTTTGCTGGCTATATAACCATATAACCATGGTCAAATTATATTTCTCAATTTTCTCATCTGTAAAATGAGTCTAATAATAATAATAGTTCCTACCTTCTTGGGTTGTAAAGATTAAATGAGTTAAAATATGTATAACACAAGGCACATAGATAAGCACTACTTAAACTTTAGTTATTATTAAATAATAACAATATAATATAATGTATCATATATAATATATATAATTTATATATTATTTATAATTATTATACCTCATTTATTTAGTTCTTTTTTTACACTAGCAAATATTCATTCAATAAAAAGTATTTTTAAAAACATGGGGATCGGGAATAAAACAGACATGAGAAACATAGCAAAATACAAAATGGCAGGTATCAAGGTATCAATTCTACCATATCAATAATGACATTACATGTGAATGTATGTCCATTCAATCCAAACAAAAGGCAGGTACCAATTTTATTAGATTTTTTTTCTTTTCACCAACTTTTAAGTTAAGTGGTACATGTGCAGCATGTGCAGGTTTGTTACATAGGTAAACAAGTGCAATTTTGGTTTGCTGAACAGATCATCCCATCACCTACGTATTAAGCCCAGTATCCATTAGCTATTCTTCCTGATGCTCTCCCTCCCCCAACGTCTTGCCTCCAACAAGGCCCCAGTGTGTGTTGTTCTCCACCATGTGTCCACGTGTTCTCATCGTTCAGCTCCCACTTACAAGTGAGAACATGCGATATTTAGTTTTCTGTTCTAGGGGTAGATTGCTGAATATAATGGCTTCCAACTCTATTCATGTCCCTGCAAAGGACATAATCTTATTCCTTTTTATGGCTGCATTGTACTCCATGGTGTATATGTACCACATTTTCTTTATCTAGTCTATCATTGAGGGGCATTTGGGCTGATTCCACGTCTTTGCTATTGTAAATAATGCTGCAACAAATATACACATGAATGTATTTCCCTGCTTAATAACAGAATGATTTATATTCATTTAGGTATATTCCCAGTAATGAGATTGCTGAGTCAAATGGTATTTCTGCCTCTCAGTCTTTGAAGAATCGCCGCAGTCTTCCACAATAGTTGAACTAATTTATACTGCCCCCAACAGACATTATCTCATTGTGGTTTTGATTTCCACTTCTCTAATGATCAGTGAGGTTCAGCTTTTTTTCTTGTGTTTGTCTTCTGCATTTATGTCTTATTTTGAGAAGTGTCTGTTCATGTCCTTCGCCTACTTTTTAATAAGGTTGTTTTTTTTTCTTGTAAATTTAAGTTCCTGTAGACTCTGGATATTAGTCCTTTGTCAGATGGATAGATTGCAAAAATTTTCTCCCATTCTGTAGGTTGCCTGTTCACTCTGACGAAAGTTTCTTCTGCTGTGCAGAAGCTCTTTAGTTCAATTCGATCTCATTTGTCAGTTTTGGCTTTTGTTGAAATTGCTTTCAGTGTTTTTATCATGAAATCTTTGTCCATGCCTGTGTCCTAAATGGTATTGCCTAAATTTTCTTCTAGGGTTTTTATAGTTTTGGGTTTTACATTTAAGTCTTTAATCCATCTTCCATTAATTTTTGAATATGATGTAAGAAAAAGGTCCTGTTTCAATTTGCAGCATATGGCTAGCCAGTTCTTTTAGCACCATTTATTAAATAGGAAATCCTTTCTCCATTGCTTGTTTTTGTCAGGTTTGTCAAATATCAGATGGCTGTAGGTGTGTGGTCTTACTTCTGAGTTCTCTATTCTGTTCTATTCATCTGTGTGTCCATTTTTTGTATCAGTACCATGATATTTTGGTTACTGTAGCCCCGGACTATAGTGTGAAGTCAGGTAGCATGATGCCTCCAGCTATGTTCTTTCTGCTTAGGATTTTCTTGGCTATTTGACCTCTTTTTTGGTTCCGTATGAATTCTAAAATAGTTTTCTCTAATTCTGCGGAGAATGTCAATGGTGGTTTAATGGAAATAGCATTGAATCTATAAATTACTTTGGGCAGAATGGCTATTTTCATGATATTGATTCTTATCCATGAGCATAGAATGTTTTTCCATTTGTTTGTGTCCTCTCTTATATGAGCAGTGATTTGTACTTCTCCTTAAAAAGATCCTTCACTTCCCATGTTAGCTGTATTCCTAGGTATTTTATTCCCTTTGTAACAATTGTGAATAGGAGCTTACACATGATTTGGCTCTCAGCTTACCTGTTGTTGGTGTATAGGAATGCTGGCAATTTTTGCACATTGATTTTGTATCCCCAGAGTTTGCTGAAGTTGTTTATGAGCTTAAGAAGCTTTTGGTCTGAGACAGTGAGATTTTCTAGATATAGGATCATGTCATCTGCAAACATGGTAATTTGACTTCCTCTCTTCCTATCTGAATATGCTTTATTTCTTTTTCTTGCTTGATTGCCCTGGCCGGAATTTCCAATACCATGTTGAATAGAAGTGGTGAGAGAGGGCATCCTTGTCTTGATTGGTTTTCAAGGGGAATGCTTCCAGGTTTTGTTCATGCAGTACAATATTGGCTGTGGGTTTGTCATACATGGCTCTCATTATTTTGAAGTATGTTATTTCAATACCTAGTTTATGCAGTGTTTTTAACATGAAGAGATGTTGAGTTTTATCAAAGGCCTTTTCTGCATCTATTAAGATAATCATGTGGTTTTTGTCTTTATTCTCTTTATGTGATGAATCACATTTATTGATTTGTGTATGTTGAACAAATCCTGCATCCCAGAAATGAAGCCAACTTGATAGTGGTGGATGAGATTTTGATGTGCTGCTGGATCCAGTTTGCCAGTATTTTATTAAGGATTTTTGTTATCGATGTTCACCAAAGATACTGACTTGAAGTTTTCTTTTTCTCTTGTATCTCTGCTATGTTTTGATATCAGGATGGTTCTGGCCTCAAAGAATGAGTTAGACAGGAGTCTCTTCTTTTCAACTTTTTGTAATGGTTTCCATAGAAATGTTACCAGCTCTTCTTTGTAGCTCTGGAAGAATTCAGCTGTGAATCCATCTGGTGTTGGGCTTTTTCTTGGTTGGTAGGCTATTTATCACTGCCTCAATTTCAGAACTCACTATTGGTCTATTCAGGGATTCCATTTCTTCCTGTTTCAGTCTTGGGAGGGTGTATGTTTCCAGGAATCTAATTATTTCTTCTAGAATTTCTAGTTTATGGTCATAAAGGTGTTTATAGTATTCTCTAATGATTGTTTATATTTTGTGGGGTCAGTGGTGATATCCCCTTATTTCCGATTGTGTGTATTTGATTCTTCTCTATTTTCTTCTTTATTAGTCTAACTAGCAGTCTATTTTATTAATTTTTTCAAAACAATGTCTCCTGGATTCATTCATTTTTTTCAAGAGTTATTCATGTCTCTATCTCCTTCAATTATGCTCTGATAAAAGAAAATCACCAAATAAACAAAACAAGGCACAAGAGACCAATCCCGGAAAAACAGAGATATATGACCTTTCAGACAGAAAATTCAAAATAGCTGAGTTGAGGAAACTCAAAGAAATTCAAGAGAACACAGGAAAGGAAATCAGAATTCTATCAGATAAATTTAACAAAGAGATTATAATAATTTAAAAAATCAAGTAGACTTTCTAGAGTTGAAACATGCAATTGAAATGCTGAGGATTGCATCACACTTTCCTAATATCAGAATTGATCAAGCAGAAGGAAAAATTAGTGAGCTTGAAGAAAAGCTACGTGAAAATATGCAGTTGGATGATATAAAAAAATTAATAAAAAACAATAAAGCATACCTCCAAGATCTATAAAATAGTCTCAAACGGGCAAATCTAAGAGTTATTGGCCATACAGAGGAGGTAGAGTAAGAGATAAGGGTAGACAGTTTAATAAAAGTGATAATGTCAGAGAACTTTCCAAATCTAGAGGAGATAACAACATTCAATTACAAGAAGGATACAGAAATCCAAGCAGATTTACTACAAACAAGACTACCTCAAGTCATTTAATAATCAAATTCCCAAATGTCAAGGATCAAGAAAGAACCCTAAAAGCAGCAAGAGAAAAAAAACAAATAACATAGAATGGAGCTCAAGTATGTCTGACAGCAGAATTTTCAGTGCAAACCTTACAGGCCATGAAAGAGTAGCATGACATATTATTATTTTATTTTATTTTATTTCAATAGTTTTGGAGAAACAGGTGGTTTTCAGTTGCACAAAGAAGTTATTTAGCAGTAATTTCTGAGATTTTGGTGTACCCGTCACCTGAGCAGTATACACTGTACCCAATAGTATTTTATCCCTCTCTCCTCTCCTACCATCTCTCCAAGTCCCAAGAGTCCATTACATGATTCTTATCCCTTTGTGTCCTCATAGCTTAGCTTCCACTTATAAGTGAGAACGTAGACATTTGGTTTCCATTCCTCAGTTACTTCACCTAGAATAATGATCACCAACTCCATCCAGGTTGCTGTGAATGCCATTATTTCATTTCTTTTCATTGCTGAGTAGTATTCCATGGTGTACGTATACCACATTTTGATTATCCACTCATTGGTTGATGGACATTAAAGCTGATACCATATTTTTGGAATTGTGAATTGCGCTGCTATAACATGTGTGTGCAAATGTCTTTTTCACATAACAACTTATTTCCTCTGGGTAGATACCCAGTAGTGGGATTACTGGATAAAATGGTAGTTCTACTTTTAGTTCTCTAAGGAATCTCCATACTACTTTCCATAGTGTTTGTACTAGTTTACATTCCCAACAGCAGTGTAAAAGTGTTTCCTTTTCACCACATCCATGCTAACATCTACTTTTAAATTTTTAAATTATGGCCATTCTTGCAGGAGTAAGGTGGAATCTCATTGTAATTTTAATCTACATTTCCCTGACAATTAGCAATGTTGATCTTTTTTTTCATACGTTTGTTGGCTATTTGTAGATCTTCTTTTGAGAGTTGTCTATTCATGTCCTTTGGTCACTTTTTGATGGGATTACATGGGGTTGTTTTCTTACTGATTTGTTTGAGTTACCTGTAGATTCTTGATATTGGTCCTTTGTTGAATGCATAGTTTTCAAATATTTTCTCTTTTCTCCCACTCTGTGGGATGTACATTTACTCTGCTGATTATTTCTTTTGCTGTGTATAAATTTTTAGTTTAATTGGGTTCATCTATTTATTTTGTTTTGTTGCATTTACTTTTTCTTTCTTTTCTTTTCTTTTTTTTTTTTTTTGAGATGGAGTCTCACTCTGTCGCCCAGGCAGGGAGTGCAGTGGGGCGATCTGCCCTCACTGCAACCTCTGCCTCCCAGGTTCAAGTGATTCTCCTGCCTCAGGCTCCCAAGTAGCTGGGACTACAGGCACGTGCCACCATGCCTAGCTAATTTTTGTATTTTTAGTAGAGATGGGGATTCACCATGTTGGCCAGGCTGGTCTTGAAATCCTGACCTCGTGATCCGCCAACTTGGCCTCCCAAAGTGCTGGGATTATATGTGTGATTATATGCCTGGCCTGCATTAGCTTTTGAGTCCTTGGTCATCAACTCTTGGCCTAAGCCAATGCTGAGAAGTGTTTCTTTGATGTTATCTTCTAGAATTTTTATGGTTTCAGGTCTCAGATTTAAGTATTTGATCCATCTTGACTTTATTTTTGTATAAGGTAAGAGATGAAGATCCAGTTTCACTCTTCTACATATGACTTGCCAATTATTCTGGCATCATTTGTTGAGCAGGGTTCCTTCTTTCTCCATTCTACGTTCTTGTTTGCATTGTCAAAGATCAGTTGCCTGAAAGAATTTGGCTTTATTTCTGAGTTCTCTATTCTGTTCCATTGGTCTACGTGCCAATTTGTACACCAGTAGCATGCTGTCTTGTTAACCATAGCCTTGTAGTATAATTTAAAGTTCGGTAATGTGATGCCTCCAAATTAGTTCCTTTTTCTTAGCCTTGTTTTGGCTATGCAGGCTCTTTTTTTGTTCCATATGAATTTTAGAATTGTATTTTCTAGTTCTATGAAGAATCATGATGGTACTTTTATGGGAATTGCATTAAATCTGTAGATTGCTTTGAGAAGTATGGTCATTTTCGGAATATTGATTCCACTCATCCATGAGCATGGAATATGTTTCCTTTTCTTTGTGTCATCTATGATTTTATTCAGCAGTGTTTTGTAGTTTACCTTGTAGAGGTCTTTCACCTCCTTGGTCAGGTATATTCCTAAGTTTTATTTTATTTTATTTTATTTTATTTTATTTTATTTTATTTTATTTTATTATTTTATTTTATTGCAACTGTTGTAAAAGGGATTGAGTTCTTGATTTGCTTCTCAGCTTGGTCACTGTTGATGTAGAGCCATGCTACTGATTTGTGAACACTGATTTTGTATACTGAAATGTTACTGAATTCATTTATCAGATCCACATGCTTTTTGGATGAGTCGTTGGGGTTTTCTAGATACATGACCGTATCATCAGCAAACAGATAGTTTAACCTCCTTTTTATCAATTTAGATGCATTTTATTACTTTCTCTTCTCTGATTTCTCTGGCTAAAATTTCAACTACTATGTGGAATAGAAGTGGTAAAAGTGTGAGTCCTTGTCTTATTCCAGTTCTCAGGGAAAATGCTTTCAGCTTTTCCCCATTCAACATGATGTTTCCTTGGGGAAACTCTCCAGGATATTGGAATGGGCAGAGATTTCTTGAGTAATACCCTACAAGCACAGACAACTAAAGGAAAAATAGACAAATAGGATCACATCAAGTTAAAAAGCTTCTCCACAGCAAAGGATACAATCAACAAAGTGAAGAGACAACCCTCAGAATGGCAGAAAATATTTACAAACTATCCATCTGTTAGGGGATTAATAACCAGATACAGGACCTCAAACAACTCTATAGGAAAAATACAATAATCTGATTTAAAAATGGGCAAAAATTTGAATAGGACATTTCTCAGAAGAAGACAAACAAATGACAAATAGACATATGAAAAAATGCTCAATATCACTGATCATCAAAGAAATGAAAATAAAAAACTATAATGAGATATCATCTCAACCCAATTAAAATGGCTTTTATCCTAAAGATAGCCAATAACGAATGCTGGCAATGATGCAGAGAAAAGGGAGCCTTTGGCCACTGTTGGTGGGAATGTAAATTAGTACAACCACTTTGGAGAACAGCTTGGAGGTTCCTAAAAAGTACTAAAAATAGAGCTACCACATGATCCAGCAATCCCACTGCTAGGTGTATACCCATGTAACCAAAAGAAAAGAAATCAGTATATCAAAGAGATATCTGCACTCCTATGTTTATGGCAGCACTAGTCACAATGGCCAAAATCTGGAAGCAACTTACGCGTCCATCAGGAGACAAATGGATAAAGAAAATGAAATGAAGAAAAAAATGTTAAGGGCAGCCAGAGAGAAAGGTCGGGTTACCCACAAAGAGAAGCCCATCAGACTAACAGCTGCTCTCTCGGCAGAAACTCTACAAGCCAGAAGAGAGTGGGGCCCAATATTCAACGTTCTTAAAGAGAAGAATTTTCAACCCAGAATTTCATATCCAGCCAAACTAAGTTTCATAAGTGAAGGAGAAATAAAATCCTTTACAGACAAGCAAATGCTGAGAGATTTTGTCACCACCAGGCCTGCCCTAAAAGAGCTCCTGAAGGAAGCACTAAACATGGAAAGGAACAACTGGTACCAGCCACTGCAAAAACATGCCAAATTGTAAAGACCATCGAGGCTAGGAAGAAACTGCATCAACTAACGAGCAAAATAACCAGCTAACATCATAATGACAGAATCAAATTCACACATAACAATATTAACCTTAAATGTAAATGGGCTAAATTACCCAATTAAAAGACACAGACTGGCAAATTGGATAAAGAGTCAAGACCCATCAGTGTGCTGTATTCAGGAAACCCATCTCACCTTTATTTTGAGCCTATGTGTGTGTGCAGAGACACACATAGGCTCAAAATAAAGGGATGGAGGAAGATCTACCAAGCAAATGAAAAACAAAAAAAGGCAGAGGTTGCAATCCTAGTCTATGATAAAACAGACTTTAAACCAACAAAGATCAAAAGAGACAAAGAAGGCCATTACATAATGGTAAACGGATCAATTCAACAAGAAGAACTAACTATCTTAAATATATATGCACCCAATACAAGAGCACCCAGATTCATAAAGCAAGTCCTTAGAGACCTGCAAAGAGACTTAGACTCCCACACATTAATAATAGGAGACTTTAACACCCCATGGTCAACATTAGACAGATCGATGAGACAGAGAGTTAATAAGGATATCCAGGAATTGAATTCAGCTCTGCACCAAGCAGACCTAATAGACATCTGCAGAACGGTCCACCCCAAATCAAAAGAATATACATTCTTCTCAGCACCACACCACACCTATTCCAAAATTCACCACGGAGTTGGAAGTAAAGCACTCCTCAGCAAATGTAAAAGTACAGAAATTATAACAAACTGTCTCTCCGACCACAGTGCAATCAAATTAGAACTCAGGATTAAGAAACTCACTCAAAACCACTCAACTACATGGAAACTGAACAACCTGCTCCTGAATGACTACCGCATACGTAACGAAATGGAGGCAGAAATAAAGACGTTCTTTGAAACTAACAAGAACAAAGACACAACATACCAGAATCTCTGGGACACATTCAAAGCAGTGTGTAGAGGGAAATTTATAGCACTAAATGCCCACAACAGAAAGCAGGAAAGATCTAAAATTGACACCCTAACATCACAATTAAAAGAACTAGAGAAGCAAGAGGAAACACATTCAAAAGCTAGCAGAAGGCAAGAAATAACTAAGATCAGAGCAGAACTGAAGGAGATAGAGACACAAAAAACCCTTAAAAAAATCAATGAATCCAGGAGCCAGTTTTTTGAAAAGATCAATGAAATTGATAGACCGCTAGCAAGACTAATAAAGAAGAAAAGAGAGAAGAATCAAACACATGTAATAAAACATGATGAAGGGGATATCACCACCGATCCCACAGAAATACAAACTACCATCAGAGAATACTATAAACACCTCTACGCAAATAAGCTAGAAAATCTAGAAGAAATGGATAAATTCCTTGACACATACACCCTCCCAAGACTAAGCCAGGAAGAAGTTGAATCTCTGAATAGACCAATAACAGGCTCTGAAATTGATGCAATAATTAATAGCTTACCAACCAAAAAAAAGTCCAGGACCAGATGGATTCATAGCCGAATTCTACCAGAGGTACAAGGAGGAGCTGGTACCATTCCTTCTGAAATTATTCCAGTCAATAGAATAAGAGGGAATCCTCCCTAACTCATTTTATGAGGCCAGCATCATCCCGACACCAAAGCCTGGCAGAGACACAACAAAAAAAGAGAATTTTAGACCAATATCCCTGATAAACATTGACACAAAAATCCTCAATAAAATACTGGTAAACCAAATCCAGCAGCACATCAAAAAGCTTATCCACCATGGTTAAGTGGGCTTCATCCCTGGGATGCAAGGCTGGTTCAACATACACAAATCAATAAACGTGATCCAGCATATATAAACAGAACCAAAGACAAAAAACACATGATTATCTCAATAGATGCAGAAAAGGCCTTTGACAAAATTCAGCCCTTCATGCTAAAAACTCTCAATAAATTAGGTATTGATGGGATGTATCTAAAAATAATAAGAGCTATTTATGACAAACCCACAGCCCATATTATACTCCATGGACAAAAACTGGAAGCATTCCCTTTGAAAACTGGCACAAGACAGGGATGCCCTCTCTCACCACTCCTATTCAACATAGTGTTGGAAGTTCTGGCCAGGGCAATCAGGCAGGAGAAAGAAATAAAGGGTATTCAATTAGGAAAAGAGGAAGTCAAATTGTCCCTGTTTGCAGATGACATTATTGTATATCTAGAAAACCCCATTGACTCAGCCCAAAATCTACTTAAGCTGATAAGCAACTTCAGCAAAGTCTCAGGATACAAAATCAATGTGCAAAAATCACAAGCATTCTTAGACACCAATAACAGACAGCCAAATCATGAGTGAACTCCCATTCACAATTACTTCAAAGAGAATAAAATACCTAGGAATCCAACTTACAAGGGACGTGAAGGATCTCTTCAAGGAGAACTACAAACCACTGCTCAGTGAAATAAAAGAGGACACAAACAAATGGGAGAACATTACATGCTCATGGATAGGAAGAATCAATATCGTGAAAATGGCCATACTGCCCAAGGTAATTTATACATTCAATGCCATCCCCATCAAGCTACCAATGACTTTCTTCACAGAATTGGAAAAAAACAACTTTAAAGTTTATATGGAATCAAAAAAGAGCCCGCATTGCCAAGTCAATCCTAAGCCAAAAGAACAAAGCTGGAGGCATCACACTACCTGACTTCAAACTATACTACAAGGCTGCAGTAACCAAAACAGCATGCTACTGGTACCAAAACATAGATATAGACCAATGGAACAGAACAGAGCCCTCAGAAGTAATACCACACATCTACAACTATCTGATCTTTGACAAACCTGACACAAACAAGAAATAGGGAAAGGATTCCCTATTCAACAAATGGTGCTGGGAAAACTGGCTAGCCATATGTAGAAAGCTGAAACTGGATCCCTTCCTTACACCTTATACAAAAATTCATTCAAGATGGATTAAAGACTTAAATATTATACCTAAAACCATAAAAACCCTAGAAGAAAACCTAGGCAATACCATTCAGGACATAGACATGGGCAAGGACTTCATGTCTAAAACACCAAAAGCAATGGCAACAAAAGCCAAAATTGACAAATGGGATCTCATTAAACTAAAGAGCTTCTGCACAGCAAAAGAAACTATCATCAGAGTGAACAGGCAACCTACAGAATGGGAGAAAATTTTTGCAATCTACTCATCTGACAAAGGGCTAATATCCAGAATCTACAAAGAACTCAAACAAATTTACAAGAAAAAAACAAACAACCCCATCAAAAAGTGGACAAAGGATATGAAAAGACACTTCTCAAAAGAAGACATTTATGCAGCCAAAAGACACATGAAAAAATGCTCATCATCACTGGCCATCAGAGAAATGCAAATCAATACCACAATATCATCTCACACCAGTTAGAATGGTGAGCATTAAAAAGTCAGGAAACAACAGGTGCTGGAGAGGATGTGGAAAAATAGGAACACTTTTACACTGTTGGTGGGACTGTAAACTAGTTGAACCATTGTGGAAGACAGTGTGGCAATTCCTTAGGTATCTAGAACTAGAAATACCATTTGACCCAGCCATCCCATTACTGGGTGTATACCCAGGACAAAAAACCAAACACCACATATTCTCACTCATAGGTGGGAATTGAACAATGAGAACACTTGGACTCAGGAAGGGGAACATGACACATCGGGGCCTGTTGTGGGGTAGGGTGAGGGGGAAGGGATAGTATTAAGAGATATACCTAATGTAAATGAGGAGTTAATGGTGCAGCACACCAACATGGCAGATGTATACATATGTAACAAACCTGCACATTGTGCACATGTACCCTAGACCTTAAAGTATAATAAAAATATATATATATTTAAAAAAGAAAATGTGGTACATATATAGAATGGAATACTAGGTAGCCATAAAAAAGTGTGATTCTGTCATTTGAAACAACATGGATGGAACTGGAGGTCATTGTTAAATGATAGAAGCCAGGCACAGAAAGACAAATATTGCATGTTCTCCCTTATTTGTGGGAGCTAAAAATTAAAACAGTTGAACTCATGGAGATTTCAAGTAAAACAATGGTTACCAGAGGCCAAGAAGGGTAGTTCTGAGTGGAGGGAAGGGGGAATGGTTAGTGGTAAAAATATGGTTAGATAGAATGAATAAGATCTATAATAGTATTTGATAGTACAACAGGGTAACTACAGTCAACAATAATGTATTGTACATTTTAATATAACTAAAAGAGTATAATTGAATTGTCCATAACAAAAAAGGATAAATGCTTGATGTGATAAATACCTCACTTACTAGGATTTGATTATTATGCACTGTATGCCTGTATCAAAGTATCTCATATACCCCATAAATACACACACATACTACGTACCCACAAAAACTAAAAAATGTTTTAAAAGAAAATCATTTATCCTTACATATTTCTCTTCCTCTCTAGGTTTGATATCCTTCTTAATGAAGTATATTATTTAGTAGTTCTTTCAGAAAGGGTCTATTAGGGTAAATTCTTTTTGAAAAAAATCTGTTTTCTTGGCACTCTGAGGGTATTATCTCATTGTCTTCTGGCTTGTTTTTGGTACTGCAAATTGTGATGTTGAGCTAATTATCCCTTTTTGGTATGTGTGATACAGAATATAGATGGGATCATAAACTTTTTTTTCAACTTTCTTCTGCTCTGTCCTGCTGTATTTTGGAGACTATAAAGCTGAAAACTGTATTTCCTGGAAACTTTCACAGCTAGTGATCTCAATAAGATTTTTTGGTATTCAAATGCATTTGTGTAAGCTTGAATTTGGAACTGAGTTATGTGAAAGAGGAGGCAGGGTATCAGAATTTCTTTGCTGGGGAGAATAGATTAAAGGCAGTGTGGCCCAAACTGACAGTTGCAGCAAGGTAAAAAAAACTTGGGCATTTGGCTTCCTGATCAAGCAGCAGTAGCTAGGTCTGGGGGCCAGCAGCTATACTGGCAACCTCTCAGTTAAACAAGTAAATAATTAATTGTGCAGGAGCAGCAAGCAGTTCCCATGCTAGCCCAGATCTGAGGAGTAGCTTTGGGTGCATTCCTGAAAGTGCAGCCTAGAATCTGTTTATTGATCCATTTAGTACTGACACAAGCCTGTAATATGCTGTAATAAACTTTCTGTTTAAGCCTTTTAGATTATATTATTTTCTCCTCAACTGTTGATAATCTTTTATCTTTGGCTGCTTTTTTATAGATAATCTCCTTTTCCTTTGGTATTTTGCTGTCTCATTATGCTGCATCTAGATGTGTATTTTTTACTTATCTTTGTTGGAACTAGATTCAGCACCACTGAATCTGAGAAGTCACATTTTCATTTATATTGGAAAAATGTCAGCCATGACCTCTTCAGATATAATCTCTGCCAAATTTTCAATTAACTCCTTGTGAGATTCTTATCAGATGCATTCTGTAAATTCTCATTTTTTTCTCCTAATGTCTCCATTACATTTTCCAACTGATTATCTCTAGTATATTTTAGGAACTTACTTCAAATCTATCTTCCAGTATATTAACTTTCTCCTTGCCTTTTTGTTTTACCCATTTTAGATGTTATAAAGCTACACATAACAGAAGCCTTATTACAGTATTGACCAAACAGGAATTTATTTTTATCACACAACATGACAACGGAAAGTTGGCAGTCCAGGACTGATGCAGCAGTCCCATAGTAATATCAGTTCCCAAGCTCTTCTGTTTTCTACTCTGCCAACCTTAACATGTGGTTGATTCTCATGATTGCCTTATGATAGCAAAATGGATACTTCATTTTATTCCTTCTGTTGCCTTTCAGGAAATAAGAATAAAGTAACAAAGAGGAAGGAATCATGGATAGCAATTTGACCAAAACATTATCACATGGATACACTGCTGGAAGGATGCCAAGCAATGCAGTGTCTGTTTGTTTAATAATTATATTGCCAACCCAAACAAAATTAGGGGTTTTATTTTTTAAAAGAAAGAGAAAATGGGTATTGTAAAAGCAACTTGAAGTATCTGCCACACATATTCATTGAACTTTTTTAAAAACATTATTACTATAACTTCCATATATTTTAATTCTTAAGGTCTACTTGATTTGTCTTCAATTTCCCTGTTCGTTTTTCATAGTGTCTTGCTTGCCTCATATTTCAGTTCTTTTATTTATGCCTTTAGCCATTTAAAAATATTTGCATAGTTTTTATCTGATTCTTCTATCTATCTCTGCTATTTACTGTACCATCTGAATCAAATTCATGGTGGATTATTTCCTCATTGATATTATAATTTTGATGGTGAGTTCATCTTTGGCGGAGGTTCATCTGTGGAAATCTTAGGCATCCAGGCCTGAGATCATGTCTTTTCAGGAGACTTGCGTATTTTTATCACAGGAACTTCCTTTCAGGGACAATTTTTATATTAATTTCTTAGCATACGGATTCCCAGACATTAGAGGTAGCATAAGTTAAGATCATAAGCCTGTGTGAGGCATAGGCCCACGGTTATAATTCTCAGGGAAGTTATTTTTTAATTCTTGGAGCTCAGATTCCAACCAAAGGCTCTCCTGTCAAATTTCTGTTTTGGCTAGTAAATTTTGCCGGTCTGCTTTCTCACATAGAGTGTACTCCTTTACATTTTCTGGGTTTGTGCCGTCTCATTTACAACTCCCCATCTCAGACAGCTCCAAGTCTACATCTTTTTTTCCTGCACAGCTGTTAGAATGTATATCTGAGATCTGTAAATCTCCTACTCCCTCCAAACACAAAGATAAACACAGTGTCAAACCATGTGTTTACCAAACCAATTTTTAATTGCCTTTTTTGTTGCCTGATAAATATTCTCAATTTCTTTTAAAAGGTCATCCTTACATTTTTTGTTATAATTTATCAAGCATTTCAAAGCTTTTGCAGTAAGAGAAATTTCGAGTTATCTTATCTCACATTATGCCAGAACCAGAAGTCTTTTGATATAGTTTTCAATGTTAATTAGTTTTGTATCTTGAGCATGTGACTTTTCTGAAAAATATGGCTATGGTCAACAGATGTTAGGACCAGAAACAAAGAAAGTTTGAAGAGCTCATAAGTTATTTTGCTAAATTGTTTGTTGATGAGTTTAACGTCAAAAGTGTTACTAAGTCCTCAATACTCTCAGTTGATACACAAAACACCTTAATATTATTTTCAAGAATTTAATAAGTAGTAAATTAGAATAGAATAATCTATATTCAATTAGTTTATAATTTTAAAACTAAAATTAGCTCTAAAATGCCCTCTAAAATGTCATCTTTATTTATTAATGAAAAAACTAAAAGTTAAAGGCTCTGTTAACTTACCTAGGTCAGAGCCTAGGTAAGTTACAGAGTTCTACAGAGCCCAGGTAGACTAACTATTTAGCAATACAAGAAGGTAAATATTTTGGTGCATTTTTAAACAGATAAGCTTTTGACATTTTCAGCATTTAGGTATTTTGATACATTTAGATTTTTAAAAAATATTTATTTAGATTAGGAGTTGAATGCAGTTATAGGAGATAAATGGAAAAGACAACCCTTGATTAGCAGGGTTCAGCCTTTGTTTTTCATCTAGAATGATGCATCTGTAACCTTAAACTTATATAAGTCTACTCAGCAGCCAAGCTACTATAGTCAACCAGACCCTGCCACTTTAGAAAGCAGTTCTGTCATTATCTACTACTAGTCAAACATAACCTTTAGAAGTATTGCCCTGCCCTCCAAAAAGAAGCTAATGAAGTAGTATTCAGTAATTTCCTGAGAGTATTTCAGATAATATAATTTTTAATTTCTTTTCATATCTAGTCATGGTTTGAGCCTCAAATATTTGTCTACAAGTTGTAGGTCATCTTCTCACCAATAATATGACTTGCTTACATCACTGTTTGGCAGAGTCAGGACAAGAACCCGGGTCTTCCACTTGCAATTCAGTGCTCTGTAAATTACATCTTCCTTCATTTAAAATTCTGCTCAGGTATTTCTTTCAACCAGCACACAATTATTTCTCCTTATGTGCTAATTTATATTTAACATCATCAAAATAATCTGATGTGTCCTATTCAAATATGATAACTTCTGCCCTGTCCTCTCTTAAAATCATGTCATATCCTAAGGGATTAAAATTATTTCTCCCAGAAAACACAATATGTATGTTCTTGATAATACATTCATAGCTAAAGGAATATCTAAGCCAAAAGGTATGGACAGGAAAAAGAAAGCTCCTGCCTACACATTTTCACGAAAATGTGATATAACAAAATATTATGACAGAATAGAAACTACATATATTACTCACAGAAATAAATGTGAATAAACTTAACTCACTTGTTAAAATAAAATAATTTTCATATAGGTAACAAAATAATAAAATACATACAATTATATGAACAAAACTACATATATGAAACAAAGGGATTTCAAAAGTCTGGGAAAAATAAAAGGGTAAGCAAAGATGAAGCATGTATACCAGGCAAATGTAATCAACATTATAATAAAAAGTCTGTGATCATAATATTATAAAAATTACAATTCAATCCAAAAAGTATTAATTGTAATGAAGAACATTTTCTGGGCTAAAAGGCAATCTACTATGAAGATATAAAACTATGACTTCATGTATTAAATAATGTATCATTGACAATTATAAAACAAAAATTGCAGGAGACTTGAGAATAATAGGTAGAAGCATACTAGTAGGAGTCATTAAACTCAAATATTCAGTTCAAGACAGTTCCAATGGTCCCAAAATAAACAGAGATGTAGAAATAAACAATACACCAATAACGTAAATCTTAAGGATATATGTTGAACTTTACAGCCTGATACTCTAAAATACAACTTCTCAAACACATATAAAAAATTCACCCCCAAAAAATCATACATTTTATGTCACAAAGAATGTGCCTACAGTAAGGTACATAAAATAGAAATATTAATGACACTTCCTGATCATAATGAAATAAAACAAGAAATTTTAAAATAGAAAAAAATAGCCATAAAGACCTTTCCATCCAAAATTTAAAGAACGTAATACTAAATAGCTCGAGTGAAAATGAAAATACAAATTCAAATTATAGAATTTCTGAAAACAATAATGATAATGAAAACACTACCTTATAATGTATGGAATATAAAAAGTGGTGATTAAAGTCTTAAAAACTCAATTAAAGGAAATAATAAAAATAAATTAAATTCTCATATAAAAGATGTAGGAAAATAACAATCACATAAAGCAAAAGAAAGCAAAGAAAGGAAATAAAGAAAAAGGGCAGGAATTTTGAAGGTAGAGAATTTTTTAAATAATAAATCTAATTTTAAAAGATCAAAATCCTGGTTCTTTGAAAGAATTAACAAAATAATCACACCAGTAGCTAATCTAATTTTTTTTTAAAAAGGGGGGGAATCATAATTTTTTAAAAGTAAGGATTGACAGTTGAAAACAGGGAAATAATTATTGAATCAGAAGAAATGAAAAAAGTCATACTAGTCTACTTTTCAGACCTTGATTTAAATAAATTTGAAAACTTAGATAACATGAATAATTTCTTTAGAAAATACAGTTTACTAACATCAGTTTTGTTAGAAACACAAAGCTAAAAAATGTCAAATTTTGTAGAAAAAGAAAAAACAGTTACAAAGAAAGCATCAGACCCAGATTTCACTGGGGAATTCTAACTACGAAGTTGTTATTACTGTTAAACCTAGTCTCAAAGCTACATAAATTGTTCTAAGGCATAGAAAATGAAGAACAAACTTCCAAATTATTTTCATAAAGGAAATATAATATTGATTCTTAAATCTTATAAATGTGATATGAAAAAGAAAATTATAGACCAATCACACTTATGAAAATGATGCAAAAATACTAAATAAAATAATTGTGAACAGAATTCAATACAACATTAAGAAAATAATAAACCATGAACAAATGGGGCTTATTCTAAGAATGTAATGCTTATTTAAGATTATGAAATTGATCATAATACACCATGTTAATATCTCTAAAAAGAACAGTCATATGATCATCTCATAAATGTTAGAAAGACCTTTAACAAAGGTTAATACCTACTCACAATTTTAACAAAAGCATTCAATAAAATGAGAATAATAAAATACTTTATTGATAAAAATATATATGCTTAGTTACAAAGTTACTGATTTCACTCAATCAGGAAGTGCTAGGGGTATTTCACTAACATCAGGAAGAAAAAAGGTAAGTGTTACCTCCAATAATATTTAATATTGTACTGAAAGTATTAGCCTGTGCAGGAAAACAAAAGACATCACTAAAGGCTTAAACATTTTTAAAGAAGTAACACTGTATCTATTTGCAAATTATATAATAGCACATCTGGAAAATCCTAAAGACTCAGTGATAATAAAATAATTTAGTAAGGTAGAAGGATACAAAATTAACACACAGAAACAAATATCCTTCACATACACAAACAATTATTAATTAGAAGACACTCTAAGTAGAAAACCCCTATGTATAATAACAACAAAGAAGATGAAAAAACACGTAAGAATAAGTATTCAAAAAAATCTGGAAAACACACACAAAAATTAAAATATTTCTGAAATATGCAAAATTAGATTTCAAAATATGGAAAGATATCTTTAATCTGTATAAAATGAATGGGCATCATAAACATGACAGATCATAGGTTAATTAATAAATTTAATAAAAACAATCATTTTTATGAATCTACACATTTTGACTCACAGATTCCTGTTTTTTTCTATATTATAACTTATTACAATTATTACTTAATTTTGATGCTCAAATTACCCCAGATATAGTCAGTTGGGGGCACCTTCAAGCTAATTCTTGTGTCCTTTTGTCATATTCTAATTATTTTCTCATGTGTGCTAATTTTTAACATAGCCAGATATTCCTGTCCCTGCGATGAAAGCAGTAATTTCTCTAAGGATCTCTGGAAACTTTTAAGTTATGAATAGATTTCAGAACTCCAAGTCTAAGAACTAGGTATGTTCATTGCTACTGGGACCCTTTCAGCACACAGAGCTAGGAAAAAATAATACACATATACGTATGTACACACCTATTACCTATATCTATATCCTCACGTACCCACACATACAACCAAATTATATCTCCAATTTCAATTTAATTCTAGTTTTCTTTCTTTCTCTCTCCCTCCCTTCCTTCCTTCTTTCCTTTTTTCCTTCCTCCTTTCCTTCCCTTCTTTCTCCTTTCCACATTTATAACTCCTTTCTCTAATAATAAGAAACAGTTTCCATTATTTTCAAAATATTTACTCTTTCATTTATTCCTAGATCACAGAGAAAGTAGCTTAAAATTGTTAACCTAAACCACTGTGAAAACCAGACCTCCTAAATACAGTGCAACATTTGTTTATAGTTCTTTTTTATTTTAGTCTGAAAACACAGTGTTCAAAAGTTTTAGATTATTACTAATAACATTTTAACTGTAGAAAAATTACACTACAATAACAAAAAGCACTATTGAACATGAAAGCTTTCTCTCATATGTATCTTCTCTTTTAATATGTAATGTTGTACAATCCTAAAAAATATCATATCATATAGAAGAAACAACATGTCAATGTGTCATGCCTTTTCTTTCATTTCAAACTACTCAAAAGTATCCTAGTACTAAGATCCTCATATCCTTAGATCCAATTGATTTTCCCAGAGACAGAAACAGAAACAAAAACAAAATCATTCTACTCCAGTGCCCTTACCATGTTTGAATTGAAGATATTTTCATCTCTTGCAAAATTAAAATTCTAATTAGTAACTTAACACATTAATTATATTAAATACATGGAGCTATTCAGTCAATAAATAGCCTTGGGCTTTAATAAGTTCACAGCACCTTTTTATTTTTTATTTTTTGAAAGTTTCTATTACTGAAGCTGGCCAAGAAAATTGTATTTTTGAAAAAAAGTCAAAGTATTTTCTTTATATTTTTTCTCTAATTATGTAATTAAAATAAAACAATGGATAAGTAGAATGGACATAATGAAAGAGAAGCTTAAAACATTAATATAGCCTCTTTTGCAGTGAAGAATTTTCCATCAGAAACAAAATAGTAAAGGCAGATATCAAAAGTAAATTTTATCAATCAAAATAAAGGGTTAATTTTAAAGCTTTGACCAACTGAAATGAAAATTAGTTATTTAAAACTCCACTGGAAACTTAGGGAATCCATTATTTCCTGGGGTTGACTATTCATGTTCATTATCATTTCAATAACTTATTTTTGCTTGTCATTGCTGTGGTTTTCTCTGTGTTTTTATAACATACATCAATTTCTCTTATCTCCCAAGTAATTTTTTTTGCAACTTTGCTCATGTATAATTGACATACAGTAAACTTCACATATTTACAGTATACAATTAAGTTTTGACATATGTCACATGCATGAAACAATCACAACAATCAAACAATAAAAATTTTCACCCCTTTTAATAAAAGTTTCCTTATGTTCCTTTGTAATCCATCCCACCTTCCATAGACATCCACGTGGAAACAGTGATCTGCTTTCTAGGGCTATATATAAGTTTGCATTTTCTAGAGTTTTATAAAAACAGATTCAAATATTTCATAGTATTTTGTTTCTGGTTTCCTTCACTCAGCATTATGATGCTGAAATTCACTCATGTTCTTGATGTTCTTGTATATATGTATATCCTATGGACTCAATGTGCCCCCCCAAAATTTGTACATTAAAGCCCTAATCCCAAATGTCACAGTATTTCGAAATGGGGCCTTTAAAAGGTAATTATGTCATGAGGGTGGAGCCCATATGTTGTGACTAGTGATCATTTAAAAAAAAGAGACATGAGAAAAGTTATGACTCTCTCCGCCATATGAGGATACAGCAAGAAAACTCCTTGACCTTGAACTTCCCAGCCTCCAGCAATGTGAGAAATAAATGCCTGTCATTTAAGCCACCCAATTGAAGGTAATTTGTTATAGCAGCCTAAAATAAGACATTATATTTCATTTATTTTATTTGCTGATTAGTATTCCATCATATGGATATGCTAGTCTGTTGATCATTCACTAGTTAATGAACATTTAGATTGTTTCCAGTTTTTGGTTAATAATAATGGCTTTGGTTAATAAGACTGCCATAAACGTTCACCTAGATGTTTTGTGGATATTTGCTTTCATTTCCCTTGAATAAACATTTAGGAGTAGAATATCTGGGTCTTTGGTAGGCGAAATTTTAACTATTGGACTTTTGAATAAAACTGCCTGTTTTTCCATAGCGGCTATACATAATTGTCTCTTTATATACTTACGTATATTGCAACTACATACATCATTTTATATATTTTTTAAAGGCCAAAGACCTCTGAAATGCTGGGCTAAGAAAAAAAAAGATCAGAGCCTAATGACTCGTAAGGAAAAAAAACACACTGGGAATTCATCATGACATTAAATTATAGGTAGAATATACATATAAATGAAAAAGGAAATTATTTCAAATAATAATTTTAAAAAACAAGTTATTTTCCACAGAATTTTTTAAGACATTAATTCCACTTTTGGATGAAATTCTTCCAGAGGAAAAATTATAGTTATCCTTATATCCCCAGTGCTAACACAGTGATTAGAACATAGCAAGGTCATAACAGTGTTTTTTAGAATTATAAATTTAGATGAGCTAGTATAAGACACAATTGGACAAAAATTATAATTAGTATGCAAATATTAAGAACTTATAAAACAAAATGTTTTATGCCACAGTTGGGCTCTAATATATAATTTTTCTTATTGCTATTTTCCAACATTATCTTCAGATCAAGATTGATTTGTCTTTCTTTCATTTCACAATCATAAATATACAACAAAATGTTATTAAAGTGTTTGTGATGGGACATATTAGAAAGAGAGTTACCACTGAAAAAAATATAAAACCAACAACAGGCACTTTGAGAAACAACCTTATATGCAAAATAAAGGGAAAAATTTCAGGAAAATGAAAGTAAAAAGTTGACTTCATTAAAAATTCAGCCAGTACACAGTTCGTCTACTGTATGAACTGTGGCAAGACATCAGAATAATTATGATCCCATGAATGCAATCTAATCTCAAGCGAATGCTAAAAAGTCTGTCTTCCAATTAGGACATTAGTGGAACTTGCCTAATTAAATCAATTGAATATCAGTAGAAGAAAATCCCCTTAAGTATGCACTATGAGACTCATATGAAGAAACAGATGTAATCGTGTATTTACAATGCACATTAGAAAATTGTTGGCAAATGTTTAATATACGATTTTTTATATAGCAAATCAAAGGTCTAGAAAAGGTCTTAAACCCTAGTGGAAATGCTCAAATGTGCAAATTCAGATTTTAAAAGTCTACTTTGTTAATGCTTCTTTTATAATTAAGCAATGATGTCTTAAAAGCATATTTATAGAATTGGATGTGGGACCATAAAAAGGAGTCAATTAATTTTCTAAATATAAATGCCATATTAGAAGGTAATTATAAAGTCCTCAGAGATATTTATCATTAAATTACATGCTGCTTCCTTTGTTTTCTAGAGTTTAGGGAACTGCTTTATTTTCTTTGAATATCTTTTCCATACTAATCATCACATACATAAAAAGCTAAGGATATTCTACTCTATGTAAGTTTTAAAACATTTTTTAAAAAGTTTTTTTAATTATTTAAAAGAAGATGAAACAATAGAATGCATAAATATCATTTTTTCTTGGTATTTCTACATAAACAGTATTTCATTAAAGGTTGCATTTTATATCGATGAGAATTTTGAATATATTTATTTTCTGCAAAGAGACTCTATGTTTTCTTAGCCTGGAAATAAGCAAGAGAGAATAGAAAAAATTTGGACCATGTCATAGCAGAATTTTAAAATATAGGTAAGATCTTCCATAAAAGATATTGTCCATTTTCAATTTATTTTTATTTATTTTAGTTGACAAATAATAATTATGTATATTTATGGGGTACAATGTGATGTTTTGATCTATGTATACATTGTAGAAACATTGATAAAACTAATTAACAAATCCATCACCTTAACAATTTATCATGTTTTTGTGGTAATAACATTTAAAATCTATTATTTTAGCAATTTTGAAATATACATTTACAATTATGGTCACCATGCAGTTCCTCCAGTCTAACTGAAACTTTGTACCCTTTAATCAACATCTTCCCTTTTCTCAACCCTCTCCCTTTTCCCCTAGCTTCTGGTAACCACCTCTTTACTCATTTCTATGAAATTCATTACAAGGAACTCAAACAACTCAATAGCAAGAAAACAAATCACCTGGTAAAATATGGGCAAAGGACATGAACACACATTTCTCAAAAGAAGACACATAAATAATGTATTAGTTCACTTTCACACTGCTGATAAAGACATACCTGAGACTGGGTAATTTATAAAGAAAAAGAAGTTTAACGGACTCACAGTTCCACGTGGCTGGGGATGCCTTATCATTATGGTGAAAGGCAAAGGCATGTCTTACATGGTGGCAGACAAGAGAAAATGAGGATGAAGTGAAAGGGGCTTCCCATTATAAAACCATCAGATCTCAAGAGACTTATTCACTACCATGAGAACAGTGTGGGGAAACTGCCCCCATGATTCAACTGTCTTCCACTGGGTCCCTCCCACAACATGGGGGAATTACGGGAGCTACAATTCAAGATGGGATTTGTGTGGGGACACAGCCAAACTATATCATTCCACCCCTGGCCCCTCCCAATCTCATGTCTTCACATCTCAAAACCAATCATGCCTTCCCAACGGTCCCCAAAAGTCTTAACTCATTTCAGCATTAACTCAAAAGTCCACAGTCCAAAGTCTCATCTGAGACAAGGCGATCCCTTCCACCTACGAGCCTGTAAAATTAAAAGCAAGTTAGTTACTTCCTAGATAAAATAGAGGTACAGGCATTGGGTAAATACAGCCATTCCAAATGGGAAAAATTGGCCAAAACAAAGAGGCTGCAGGCCCCATGCAAGTCTGAAATTCAGCAGGGCAGTTAAATATTAAAGCTCCAAAATGATCTCCTTTGACTCCATGTTTCACATCCAGGTCACACTGATGCAAGAGGTGGGTCCCCATGGTCTTGGGCAACTCCAACCCTGTGGCTTTGCAGGGTACAGCCTCCCTCCCAGGTGCTTTCACTGCTGGCATTGTCTCCAGCTTTTCCAGGTGCACAGTGCAAGCTGTAGGAGGATCTACCATTCTGAGGTCTGGAGTACAATGGATCTCTTTTCACAGCTCCACAAGACAGTGTCCCAATAGGAACTGTGTGCGGGGACTCACACCCCACATTTCCCTTCTGCACTGCCCTAGCAGAGGTTCTCCATGAGGGCCCCACCCCTGCAGCAAACTCTTGCCTGGACATTCAGGAATTTCTATACATCCTCTTAAATCTAGGCAGAGGTTCCTAAACCTTAATTCTTGCCCCTTTTGTGCAACCCATAGGCTCAACATCACATGGAAGCTGCCAAGGCTTGGAGCATGCACCCTGTGAAGCCACAGCCCAAGCTGTACCTTGCTCCATTTTAGCCATGGCTACAGCAGCTGGGACACAGGGCACCAAGTCCCTAGGCACACAGAGCAGGAGGTCCCTGGGTCAGGCCCATGAAACCATTATTTCCTCCTGGCCTCTGGGTCTGTGATGGGAGGGGCTGCTCTGAAGACCTCTGACATGCCCTGAAGACATTTTCCCCATTATCCTGCATTGTCTGGGGGATTAACATTTGGCTCCTTATTACTTATGCAAATTTCTACAGCCAACTCAAATTTCTCCTCAGAAAATGGGTTTTTCTTTTCTATTGCTTCCTCAGGCTGCAAATTTTCTAAGCTTTTATGCTCTGTTTCCCTTTTAAAACTGAATCCTTTTAAAAGTACCAAAGTCACCCCTTGAATGCTTTGCTGCTTAGAAATTTCTTCTGCCAGATACCGTAAATCATCTCCCTCAAGTTCAAAGTTCCATAAATCTCTAGGCATGGGCAAAATGCTGCCAGTCTCCTTGCTAAAACATAGCAAGAGTCACCTTTACTCCAGTTCCCAACAAGTTCCTCATCTCCATCTGAGACCTTTTCAGCCTGCATTTCATTGTGCATATCATTATCAGAATTTTGGCCAAAGCCATTCAACAAGTCTCTAGGAAGTTCCAAACTTTCCCAAATTTTCCTGTCTACTTCTGAGGCTTTCAAACTCTTCCAACCTCTGCCTGTTACCCAGTTCCAAAGTTGCTTCCACATTTTCAGGTATCTTTATAGCAGTGCCCCACTCTACTGGTAACAATTTACTGTATTAGTCCATTTTTGCTGCTGATAAAGACATACCTGAGACCGGGTAATTTATAAAGAAAAAGAGGTTTAATGGACTCATAGTTCCACATGGCTGGGGGAGGCCTCACAATCATGCTGGAAGGCAAAAGGCATGTCTTACATGGCAGCAGACAAGAGAGAATGAGAATGAAGCAAAAGTGGTTTCCCCTTATAAAGCCATCAGATCTCATGAGACTTATTCTTATACCATGAGAACAGTATGGGGGAAACTGCCCCCATGATTCAATTGTCTCTTACCAGGTCCCCCCTGCAACACATGGGAATTATGGGAGCTACAATTCAAGATAAGATTTGGTTGTGGACACAGCCAAACACATCACAGCCAATAGATACATATAAACATTCTCAACATCTCTAATCACCAGGAAAATGCATATTAAAACACAATAGGGTATCATCTCACACCTGTTAGAATGGTAATCAAATGAAAGACAAATGATATCAAGGTGAGGAAAAGGGAACCCCTGTATACTATTGGTAGGAATATAAATTAGTACAGCCATTATGAAAAAATAATGTTGAGGTTCCTCAAAACACTAAAAATAGAGTTACCATATTATCCAGCAATCCCATTTCTGAGTATATATCTAAAGGAACTGAAATGGTTATGTTGAAGAAATATCTGCATGCCCATGCTTTTTGCAGCATTATTCACAATAGCTAAATTATGGACCCAACCTACGTCTCCATCAGTGAACAAATGGATAAGGAAAATGGGATACATATGCAGAATACAATACCGTACAGCCTTCTAAAAGAAGGAAATTCTGTCATTCATTATAACACAGATGGAACTGGAAGATATTATGCTAAGTGAGATAAGCCAGAAACAGAAAGACAAATAATGTATGATCTCACTTACATGTGAAATATAAAAAAGATCCTTTACATTTTGTTTCAATGGGATCAGGTTCATTTGAAGCTTCTCATTTTGCATGCATAGATATTTAAATAATAACAATAAAAAAGCAGAGCAAGCAAAATAGCAACTGGCAAAGACAGAGCAAGTATGCCCAAATAGAAAGTCGTACAGAATGAAAGAAGATTGTCTTCACACATCACAAAAAATGGCAAGATCTATTTCATTTAGAAGCAGCAGAGTATAGAAAATAAACCCTTGAGAAGGGTATCAGAATTCCTGATTTCTAGTTCAGAGTCCCTTACAATATAACTGGAACACTAGGGAAGTCCGCAAATTAGATAATCCTACATTAAAAATGATCTTGGTGGTTAAGAAAATATGTCTTTTAAGAATTGATCATATATGAGGTAGATAAAGACTTGACATTACTAGAAGTCATTTCTAAGAAATACAAATTACCCACTTCAGCTAAAGAACACTTTTTTTCCTGAGCATTTTTGCATTTTTGCATGCTGGTAAGAGGAGCCTTCAAGGAGAAAGGGAATATACTCAAATTGAAGAGCAGGATTGAATATATCACACACTTAGGAGTAACTGAGCTATACATCCACCAAGACTTCCAATACCAGTTCAGAAGGATGCTGGCATTTTTGTTAACATAATTTTAATATTTGAGAGCTTCAAATATTCTTTGTTATTGCTGCTATTCTCAAACTGTTCTCCTATAAAAATTACTCTTAATGAGGAAAGGATTTATTTACCAATTTTGAAGAAATAAAAAGAGCAAAACTGAGAAGATAACAGGTGATCTCAGTCACAAAGAAGGCCCAGGAAATAAAGGAAGTGGGCATACATGTAAAGAAAAAAAAAAATGGGATCTAGTCCCCTGGATCTGGTAAAAACTAGTAAAGAGTGCAAAGTGAATAAAATAAAGTCTGAGAAGAGGCCACTAAGTCTTAAAAATTAAAAGACAAAACAAAAAGCTCCTTCTCTAACAGAGCTCATCTAAGCCAACCCTCTCATTTTTTACAAGAAATCCTTTTCCAATATTTTCCATAAGTCACTTAACCTTTTCACCCCTTAATTTTCTCATCTCTAAAAGGTAAAAATGTTACTTTAAAAGTTCCCTAAGGTCTATTCCATCTCTAAAATGCTGTTATTTTAGTAGTTATTCTTCCCTTAAATACTCATTAATATGACCTTGCAAAAGCATTTTCTATACTTTTGGCTAATATTCTTTAAGGAAGTAACCAAACTCATAAATGGGCAAGTAAGAAAATATCTCAGGGTTTAAAACATTCCTATAGTCATAAATAAAATGACTTAGATGATTCTTTGGGAAATGACATAAATAATATTCTGCCTCATTTACCATGAGAAAATAACATTCAGAAACAAATTGTATGGTTTAAAAGACTGGCTTTATCAGAGAAGATTTAGACTAAAATATTTCCTACTTAAGTGCACTTTAAAATGCTACATCATAAAAACTCCTCAGACTTTCATACTTTTCCCATTTCTCTAGTTTCAGCCATCATTGTCCAACATAAAGATTATTGAAACAATATCCTAATAGTACTCCATCACAATCTCCAAATCTGTTCACCCTTGGTTAGTCAGACTTAATGTTTTTAATTTCAAAACTGATTTTCAGCATCTATTTAGGGTATTGAAAGCTGGAATGAGTGTCACTACCATCCTAACAACAAAATCTAATTGACTTTTCTTTTTCTCAAACCTATAAAAGAGCAATAAATTAGCCTGAAATTTAATGAAAGGCAGGTGCCCCCCTCCCCACACACACACAAAAAAAATACCATGTCACAAGCACCTGTTTATCTGGAGTGCAGTACAGGAGGATGATGAGAAACACCACATAAGCTGGTATGAGAAATTTTCAGTGGGTTGCTTAAGATTAAGTGTGGGCTAGCTAGTGTAAGAATATGGAATGCCGGGGAACTGAAGATACAAAGAGAATTAGCACTACACTATGGACTGTATGTTCACAAGGAATATTAAGGGACAGGGTAGAAAACTAGAGAAAGCATTTCTTACTGTGTAGACCTTGGGGAGGAAAATAGCTGCCACTGTGAAACAAGCACAAACTCCACCCAGGTCATTCTCCCATGTGATATAAAAGACTCAACCTACAGGAAGAAAGGCAGTAAACCATGTTGCCTCAAGGGCACAGGTGCAGATCCCTGGAGAAAGAAAACTTTCCTCTGAGGGAGGACTGGGAAATGATAGCATTTTTGTAGAAGTTCAAAACAACTGTGAAAGATCCAGCCAGATACCCAAGGTCATGGATCTGACTAAAGCTATGGCTAAGCTAGGACAATGTAGACTACCTACCCAATGCCCCTCATACCACTAGCAAGACCTAAGCAAGAAGTAATATGAGGCATAAACTGAGGGTGGAAAAGAAATATTGAAGAAAAACCTTCTGGCAATGAACAGCCACCCAAAACATAAGGTAATGATGAAAAAACATGAAACTAGCAATGCACTGAGGTAAATTCCAGCAACAACAAGCCAAGCCTCCAAACCAACTCAAATCCTGAACAAGACTGACACAACCCTCCATGTTAAGCCCTATCAGAAGAAAAGGTAAGGCAAAGGTATGCAAATCAAAGCATAATTATTGTGTACTTTATTCTCTACTCTGCTACACAACATGTCTAGTTTTCAACCAAAATTTACAAAACATAAATAAATTTTGTAAAGAATCTACACATACATACCACATACACACACACACACACACACACACACACAAGTACACACAAAATTATCAAGAGAGAAAGCAAGCCAGTCATGGTGGCTCACGCTGTAATCCCCACACTTTGGGAGGCTAAGGTGGGAGGATCGCTTGAGCCCAGGAGTTTGAGACTAGCATGGGCAACATAGGGAGACCTTGTCTCTACAGAAATATATATATATACACATATATACATATATGTATATAAATATACATATACACACATACATATATGTATATATTTTTTTAATTAACTGGCCTTGTTGGTGTGCTCCTGTAGTCCCAGCTACTCGAGAAGCTGAAGTGGGAGGATTGCTTGAGCCTGAGAGATCAAGGCTGCAATGAGCAGTGATTGTGGCAGTACACTCCAGCCTAAGTGACAGAGCAAGACCTTGTCTAAAATTTTTAAGAAAAAAAAAATAGAGAGAGAGAGAAAGCATTCAGATACAGTTATGACCCAGATGTTGAAACTTTCAGACAGGGAATTTAAAATAACTATAACCAATGATAAAGCCTTTAGTGGAAAAGGTGACTAACATGAATGGACAGATGAAGAATTTTAGCAGCAACATGAAATTATAAACAAAACAAGTGTTAGAAATGAAAAAAACAGAAACAGAGATAAAGAATGCACCCTATTAATTCATCATTAGACTCGACAGAGCCAAGGAAAGAATCACTGCATTAAAGATGGATCAATAAAAATTATTCCAAGTCAATTACAAGAAGAAGAAAAAAAGTTTTAGACAGAATCCAAGAGCTGGACAATAGTCAATGTTCTAATACTCATGTAATTGAAATCCTCTTAGAAAGGGGAAGAGAGAGAAAGAAGGCTTCTCGTCATATTTCAGAAGAAATAGTTAAGAGAGAATAACCAAGAATTTTCAAAAAGTAATGATCAAAGAACCTCAGAGAACACCATGCAGGATAAATAGGAAAAGGAAGGAAGAAAGGAAGGCAGATAGGAACAGAGGATGTGGTGGCTGAGAGGCAAAGATGGGGAAGAAGTTTTTGCGGGGGTGGGGAGAAGTGCTCTGCACACTCATGGGCAACTGCAAGGAGTCCACAATACGTTCTGGAGACTGAATCAGTCCAGGCCCAATAAACTCATTCAAAACAAACCAAACTATTATGGGAAGAGAGGGGGGAAAGGAAGGGAGAATTGCTTTGCACATTCACGGGTAATTGCAAGGAGTACACAATAAGTTATAAGCAACTGAATCAGACAGGGTCCAATAAACTCTTCAAAACAAACAAACTATTATGAGCTGAAACGTGTCTTCCCAAAATTTTTACAATGAACTTAACCCTAACCCTCAGTACCTCAAAATGTGACTATATTTGCAGATCAGGCATTTAAAATGGTAATTAAGTTAAAATGGTGTTGTAAAGGAAGGCCCTAATCCAATATAAGTTCAAATTGAGATTCTTTTTATAAAAAGAGAAAAAGGACACAGATAACAATTTACAGAAAAACCATGTGAAGACACCAGAAAAAGATGACCATTGAAAGCCAAGAAGAGAGGTCTTAGAAGAAACCAATCATGACCACACTTCGCTCTTGCACTTCTAGCCTCCAGAATTGTGAGAAAATAAATTTATTTTGTTTATACCATCTACTCTGTGGTATTTGTTCAAGCAGCACTAGCAAACTAATACACAAACAAAGCTTCATTTTAGGACATAGCTCTACATTGGGTAAAGAAAAAAAGAAGCAAAGAAAAAGTAAGGGCCAAAAAAAGAGGGGTCTAGAAAAAAGAAGGGTTATAGAGCTAAGAAATTATAGAAAAGACAAGGGAAGAGTTTTAAACACTTCTAAAAAACAACCAGAGGAGGAACCTTAGTGTTATAAATTAGAAAAGCTCTTCTGACCTACCTTTTCCTTCTCACGGTTCAAATTTGGTATCATAATGACCAAAAAAAACCAGACTGTTACAGAAACCTACACAAAGATATTATGAAACAAAAGAAAACAAGATGCAGAAAAGCATCCCTACAGACAAAGATAGCCTTCTAGGAAAGACATAATTATAAAAACAATTTAAAACTGTACCTCAGTATATGTCTGGGTTTGATTAAAAAAATAGCTACTAAAGGTACTACAGAAACGTAACGCTTAACATAGAAATTAGAGCTTATATCAATGTGGGAAAGTCTAGACAGTGTACATTTAGAAGACTCCAGTCAGTGAACTGGAGAAATAGTAACTAACAACTTCAGCCTGAAACCCTGGAGTTGGTGAAGATACCAGAACTCAGAACAGTGAGAACAAGAATTTAAAAGTGAGAGACTGTTGGGTCCAGCTGCCACAACCATAAAATAGTATGTGAAAAGATCTCTAATGCCACTGCAACTGGGCATCATGACATCCCCAGAATAACAAATTCTATTTTACTTCCACTTTCTAAATATCACGTGTTACCATAGTCAAACTCTTACCTAAAGACAAAGAGAAAATAGAATTGTGAAAAATGTATTTTCCAACCTAGTAGAAAATATTGGTGATATTCAATTGACCACATTAAATCCAGGATACCTAGTGTTTCAAAGCAAGCTAAAGATGAAGAAAATAGCATAATATATAAATGAACAATATACCATTGGCCACTGAATAACATGCGTTTGAACTGCACAGGTTCATATATACACAGATTTTTTTCAACCAAACACAAATTGAAAATACTATTCATGGATGTGAATTCCACAAATACAATGGGCCAGCATTTGTAAACATAGTTTCTGGAAGGTCAGTTGTGGGAATTGTGTATCCATGGACGTTGGTATACGCAGGAGGCCCTGGAACCAATCCCCCATGCATATTGTGGTACAACTGTAAATCAAAATTAGCAAAACTCACAAACAACTTGAGAAAACTCAAGAAAAATACAAAGATAAAAACTATTTAAGAAGAGAAGAATAAACTTAAAGAAACACAAAGATAAATAAAAGTCATAAAATGTTCTAAGATTAAAGTGAGGTCAATTTTTCACAATTAAAAAGAAATGACCAAGTGTTCAAGGTGAAATGACAAAAATATGCAATAGGCAAAGATCAAAGTGTATGTATAAAATAAATAATCAAAGCAGTGGAATAGAATACATACTAATACTTATAATTCAACAAAATCTTCTTGAGGAAAAAAATTTATAGCTACATATGTAAAGAGCATAGTACTCATCTGGGAAAATCTTCCTAGAGTGGCAAAATCGAAGTGTATTCTAGTAGAATTACTGAACTTTATAGAAAAAAATAATTTAGGCATCGAGGCAAAAAAGACTAAATCAATTAAAAGGGAAAAAATAAAACATTTATTTGACTTTTCAACAGTAATGCTTTATGCCAGTAGAAAACAGACTAACTAACATATTTAAGATAGTCAAGAAAAGAAAACAGGAACCAAAGATTTTAAATGCAGCCAATATTATTTTAAAGTAAAAAGGCAATAAAATGTGTTGTCAACATGCAAAATCTAAGGGAACAAAATTCCTGTGAGCACTTTCAAAGAAATCTACTGAAGAACAAGCTTCAAAAAGCCAAAATGAATGGAGATATATCCACATATGACTAAATGGAAACCTGTAAACGTATGTTTCTGGAAGAACTCAAACTAAAGAATAATTTTAAGGAAAAGACTATGCCTTCTTTTTTCTACTCTTCACGTCAAACTATTAAACAAGTACTATCAATCTGCTTTTTAGGTAATTACTTTCCTTCTCTTTCATATCAACTAATTTGGTTATTGATATGGTTTGGATCTGTGTCACTGCCCAAATGTCATGTCAAATTATAGTCCCCAGTATTGGACGTGGGGTCTGGTGGAAGGTGATTGAATCATGTCAGTGGTTGCTCGTGAACGCTTTAGCGCCATCCCCTCAGTGCTGTTCTGGTGATAGTAAGTTATAATGAGATAAGATTGTTTAAAAGTGTGCAGCACCTTTCTGTTCTCTCCCTTGCTCCTGCTACACCACATAAGGTAAGCCAGCTGCTCCCCCTTTGCCTTCCACCAGGATCGTAAGTTTCCTGAGGCCTCCGCAGGAGCAGAAGTCACTAGGATTCCTGTACAGCCTGTGGAACTGTGAGCCAATTAAGCCTCTTTTCTTTATAAACTACTCAGTTTCAGGTATTTCTTCATAGCAATGCAAGAACAGACCAATACAGAAAATTGGAACCAGAAGTGGGGTATTAATATAAAGATACCTGAAAATGTGGAAGCAACTTTGGAACTGGGTAATGAGCAGAGGTTGGAAGAGTGTGAAGGGCTCACAAGGAGACAGGAAGATGAGGGAAATTTTAGAAATTACTAGAGACTGGTTCAATGGTTATGACCAAAATGCTGGTAGTGAAATGAACAGTGAAGGTCAGGTTGACAAGATCTCAGATGGAGATGAGGAACTTATTGGGAACTGGAGTAACAATCACTTTCGTTATGCCTTAGAAAAGAACTTGGTTTCATTGTGCCTCTTCCCTAGGGATCTATAGAAGTTTGAACACAACAGTGATGATTTAGGGTATCTAACAGAAGAAATTTCTAAGCAACAAAGTATTCAAGATGTGGCCTGTCTGCTTCTAAAAACCTATACTCATATACATGAGGAAATCAATGACCTAAAGTTGGAACTTATATTTAAAGGAAAAGCAGAGCTTAAAAGTTAGAAAAATTTGTAGCCTGCTCATGTGGTAAGAAAAGAAAAGTTTATTTTCTGGGGAAAAAATTAAGCAGGCTGCAGAATTTGCATAACCGAAAAGGATCCAAGTACTAATAGTAAAGACAATGAAAATAAGACTTCTAAGGAATTTCAGAGACATTTGGGGCAGCCCATCCCATCACAGGACCAGAAGCCTAGGAGAACAGAATGGTTTTGTGAGCCAGGCCCAAGGGCCCACTGCCCTGTGCAGCCTTGGGAAACTGCTCCCTGCATCCCAGCCACTCCAGCCTCAGTCATGGCTCAAAAGTGTTCAGGTACAGCTCAGGCCACTGCTTCAGAGGATTTAAGTCATAAGCCTTAGCAGCTTCCACATGGTATTAAGCCTGTGGGTGCACAGAGTGCAAGAGTTGAGTCATGGGCACCTCCACCTAGATTTCAGAGAATATATGGAAAAGCCCTGGTGTCCAGTCAGAAGCCTGCTGCAGGGGCAGAGCCTCAAAGGGAACCCCTACTAGGGCAGTGCAGAGGGAAAAAGTGGGGTTGGAGACCCCAAACACAGGTTCCACTGGGGCACTGCTTAGGCGAGCTGTGATAAGAGGGCCACCATCCTCCAGACCCCAGAATGGTAGATCCACCGACAGCTTGTACCCTCAGCCTGGAAAAGCTATTGGTACTCAATGCCAGCCCTTGAGAGCAGCCATGGGGGCTGAGCCCTTCAGAGCCAAAGGGGTGGAGCTGCCCAAGACCTTGGGAGCAGACCCCTTGCACCAGTGTGCTCTGGAGGTGAGACATAGAGTCAAGAGAGATTATACTGGAGCTTTAAGATTCAGTGACTGTCCTGCTGGGTTTCAGATTTGTACAGGGCCTGTAGCACCTTTCTTTTGGCTGATTTCTCCCTTTTAGAACAAAAGGAGATTTAGAACAAAATTGTATCTTGGAAGTAACTAGTTTTTGATTTTACAGGCTCACAGGCAGAACACACTGCCTTGTCTCATATAAGACTTTGGACTGTGTACTTTTGAGTCAATGCTGAAATGATTTAAGACTTTGGGAAACTGTTAAGAAGAGATTATTGTACATTGCAATGTGAGAAGAACATGAGACTTGGGAGGGGACAGAGGTGGAATAAAATGCTTTGGATTTTTGTCCCTGCCCAAATATCATGTCAAATTGCAACCCCCAGTGTTGAAGGTGGGGCCTGGTAGGAGGTGACTGGATCATTGGGACACATTTCCCATTTTGGTACTATTCTGATGATAAAGTTCTCACAAGTTACAGTTATTTAAAAGTGTATGGCACCTCCCTCCACTCCTTCCTCCTTCTTCAGCCATGTAAGATGAGCCTGCTTCCCCTTCACCTTCAGCCATTGTAAGTTTCCTGAGGCCTCCACAGAAGCTAGCATCATGCTTCCTGTACAGCCTGCAGAACTGTGAGCCCATTAATACTGTTTTCTTTATAAATTATCCAGTGTCAGGTATTTCTTTATAGCAATGCCAGAACAAACTAATACACACCTATTATCAAAAAGGCAAAAGACACTAAGTGTTTGCAAGCATACAGAGAAAAGGGAAACCTAGCACACTGTTGGTGGGGATGTAAATTAGTATAGCAATTATGGAAAACAGTAAAGAGGTTTCTCAAAAAATTAAACCTAACATATGACTTATCAGTCCTACTGCTGTGTATATACCCAAAGGGAAGTAAATCAGTATGTTGATGAGATAACTATATTCCCATGTTTATTGCCACATTATTCACAGTAGTCAAGATATGGAATAAACCTAAGTATCTATCAGCAGATGAACAGATAAAGAAAGTGCGGTATATATACATAATGGAAAACTATTCAGCCATAAAAAGTAAACCCTTCTATTCACAGAAACATGGATGAATCTCAAAGACATTATGTTACACAAAATAAGCCAGGCAGAGAAATACAAATACTGCATGATCTCACTAATATGTGGAATTGAAAAAATTGATTTCATAGAAATAGAGAGTAGAACTGTGATTACTAATGGCTGGTAGTAAGGGAAAAAGTTTGGGGGAAAGAGAGTTTTGGGGACGTGCTGGTCAAATGCTGCAAAATTTCATTCAGACAGTAGGAAAAGTCCAAAAGATCTATTGTATAACATGGTGACTATAGTTAATATATTATTCTTGAAAAATCCTAAGAGAGTGACATACAATATTTTCTCAGTACGAAAATGATAATAATGTGAGGTACTACACATTAGTTAGCTACAGGATAGGAGTTTTGTTGTTTTATTCTTAAAAGTAGTTCAAGCAATGCTTGCCCTCCCTCAAAAAGAGTTGGAAGACAAAATTTTCAGAAATCTAATTAATTTGAAATACATTAGAAGATAAAAGGAAAATTAAAGACATAAGGAGCTATTAAAGGCAATCAGTTTTTCCAGATTGGTGGCATAATTCTCAAAAGAGTAATCTTTTTCTAGCTAACTTTTCTTCTAAGCTTCTCAAACCAAGAACTAGTCACAGAGTTCCTGTGAGTTACCATGATAATCCTGAATGTTTCCCACAAAATAAAGAAATGTGGCAAAAATCAGGTCTACCAGGATTACCATAACAAGATCACTAGGAGAGAGATTGATGGGTGAAGGTATCTTAAAAGGGCCTGTAAAAATGTTATCATATCTAAAAACTAAAAAACAAAATACAGCATTACCACTCACAAGACTTGCCAACACCAAATTTAAAAAAATTTTTTTTAAATTATTTTGTAAAAGAGTGAAAAGCATGCTAGCAAAAGAACAAGTCCTTATGATTCTTTTGGAGGACAGAACTTCTAAATGTTGCATAAATTTTAAAAAATTATTTAATTATTATTTAAAAATCCAAATAGAAATGATAACATTAGCTTAAAAGGCAACCCACATTTAATACAAAGTTAATAAAACTGAAGAGAAGTTGGTGACGGGGTACAAAAATGCAGCTAGACAGAAGGAATAATGTCTAATATTCAATACTACAGTAAGGAATTATAGTTAATAATTTATTATATATTTCAAAAAACAGCTAAAAGAAGAGTTGGATTGTTCCACAAACAAAGAAAGGTAAATGTCTGAAGTGATAGCTATCCCAGTTACCCTAATTTTATCATTATACACTATATAAAGGTATCAAAATAGCACATATGCCCCCAAAATATGTGCAACTACTACATATCAATTTTTGAGAGTGAAAAAACTTATGACAAGATATGAAATATACATCAGCACATGTACAAACTATATAAACAAATTAATATATAAAAACAAAATAATCAAAATTCACGTTTTTCATAGAAATAAGTCAGTACATAATACTGACTCTTGAAAAAAATTAAGAATTAGTATTATAGGCATATAATTTAGAAATATATTGGTAGGAGAACTGAAACCAAAAAGTGCTAGAAATAATTGTCTCTAAAAATTGAAAGTCAAGGGAGAACAGAACAGGGGTTGCCTGATTTTATAAAAAGCATTGTACAACTATTAGACATACTAAATTCTGTGCACGCATTACTTTGCTAGAGTAACTTTTAATAAGCAAAACCTACTTAAATGTCAAAAAAGTTATTACTTAATCTCACTTTGTGATCATTAAAAGTTTATCTGTATAAGAACATAAGTTCTTAAAAATAAGTAAATAAATAAATTGACTTTTATAAAAGAAAAATGTGAGAAACTCAATCAGCTGGAAGCTAAAAACACATGCCAAATTCTCACTGCTATAAAGGTTATGAGAGAACTTTGTGTAACAGACATTTTGAGAACAGTAATATCTCTCACTTTTCATATATTCTCCTGAGTGCATGTTTAAGAAATAAAGCTTTATTTACCAAAGCAGGTAACTAAAAAAAAATGATATATCTAAATAGCAAGAACAATTGATAAATAAATAGTATGTTGTTATTTTATGAAAATTATAAACGTATTGCTTTTTGGGGTCTTTTTAAATTTGCTTAGGTATTTCTTTCAGTCCTATCTGAAAGCCAAAAATATATCTTGCTCTTATTCATTTTCCTACAAGTAGAAAAAAAATCTTAAAGAAAATATAGAAAAATAATGTAAAACTTTGCATGCACTGCATTTCTAGTCTTGTTTTTTGAAGAAGAGGATGAATTTTCTGGATTGGAATTACCTAAATCTCTAAAGGAAGAATAAATTTAACTATAATACAGCAATATTTCATTTGAATGGAAAGAACAATAAATTTAATTACAAAAGCAGAAAAAATGCTTAAACTCCATGAAGTCAGAAACCATTATGTCTACCTTTTTCAGTAAATCAGCCAATCCCCCATTGCTGGCTATCTGGTATGTAGTAGAGGTTTCCTCATCCTGAACTACCTTTCTATTCCCATGGTACCCCACTCCAGTGCTCCTCACTGCCAGAAGTCATCTGCATAACTTCCACTCAGGTATCTACTTTTCTCTAAAATTTTCTCTACCAACGTACTTATCACACCCTATTATAATCTTTGTGCAATAAAATATAGAGATATAATCATGGGTTTTAGAATCAGACAAAAGCAAGTTCAAGCTCTGACTTGGTCATTTACTCAGTGTAAAAATGTGGGCAAGTTACTCTTAGAACAATAAGTCCATTTTTAAGAAGATGAAAAAATGAGGCCAGATAAGTAAGGTCAGGAGTCCATACTGACTTG
The DNA here is from genome assembly GCF_000001405.40 of Homo sapiens. Lineage (NCBI taxonomy): Eukaryota > Metazoa > Chordata > Mammalia > Primates > Hominidae > Homo > Homo sapiens. The sequence goes on from NC_000004.12 coordinate 97,892,303, forward strand.
TCCCCTTGTGTGAAGCCCTGTGAGCTCCTTTCACATCACTTGCACTCTCATGCATCAGCACCTAATTCTTTTGCAAGATAAGCAGTCCTACAGAATAACAGTCTATTGCCAGATAGTTACAAGTTCCTAATACCCTATATGGCCCAGGAAAGAGAACAAAATGCCTTATTTATGTTATCACTTCCCTAATCTCCAGTCAATCAGTACCAAAGACCGCATAAGCTATCAGTTACAAATTCCTGTCTTGGAGGAGCTAGGGACTTCTCCTAGGTCCCACATGCACAGCTAAGCTTAAGGTTTAGCTTATAGTGACCTTTTCCTCATTTAATAGTTTAAAAAACAACCTAGGTGGAAATTTCATATGCTAATGATACCTGTGATGTGTGTTAGGGCATGTAGATGCTGAGCACATGCACCAACCACAGGGCTGCCTTTGCATATTTGGTCTCACCAGTATTTTATGCATATGTATGTACAGCTCCCATAAAGAGAATCCCCCTAAGGCACTAGCAGCTGTCACCTGCTTTGCATAGCCCACTCTGCCTCTCAGAGTGTACTTTCACTCTCCAATAAACTTCTTTGCCTACTTCTACTTTGGACTCACTCTCAAATTCTTTTGTACAGCAAAATCAAGAACCAGAACCAATCCAAAAACAACAGAAAGAGATGAGTATTCAACAGAGAATTAAATTAAAAAGATAACTGGTGGAAAGATCAAATTATTCATGTCTGAAAGTCCACAACCTTACCCTTCTCCTTTGACCATAACATTCAGATACCACCTGCTTAGCTTCTTCCAGTTAGGGAGGGAAACTAACTACATTCCTCATTAGGTTCCTCATAGCAGGGGTACTGCATGGCCTATATCCTAAGTGCTATACGGAGGGTGTTGGTGAAAGAGAGAATTCTTCTGGGAGTAGGAGGATGAGTGGGATTATATAAAGAATTATAATGGACTATTCATTTGGAACCACAAAAAAAAGATCCCAAAAAAGGATCAAAATGATATTTTTGGACTGAAGCACTTTGACTAAAACATGACTCACACTGAAACATTTGGTAATCAAATATAGATTTCATTAAATATAGAAATACAAAATACAGTGGCTTAAGTAAAATAGAAGTTTATTTCTCTTTCGTTTAAAATAATTCCAGGGGTAGGAAATTCAGGGCTGATATAACACTCCTAGAAGTTGTAAGGGATTTAAGCTCTTCCAACTCACTGCTTTGCAGTCCCTAGATGAGGCCCTTGTCCTCATTGTCTAAACAATGGAAAAGAAAAATCATCCCCTCAATTTTCAAGAAATTTCTCAGAGTAAAAAAACTTACTGCTGTCAGGAAAATGTAAGGAAGGAGACTATTTTACTAAAGAGAAAATCAGATTCAGAGTTAGGAAGTAAATTAAATTACCTTTCATCGGCCAAAACTTAGTCTACAACTACATGTAGTTACAAATGGTACATTATTATAACAGAAGATTCAGAGGTTCTGCCAATAAGAAGAAAGGAAAGAATGGATGTTGAGGGAGACAGGTGGCAATCTCTAGACACCTGTGTTACATTTGTCTGAGTCCCCTAAAATCTATTATTTATAAATTTGGAAAGCAAAGATAATGGACCCTAGTATCAGGAACAGAAAGGGTAAAAGTCGATGGGGTATGAAACAGAATGTAAGAGAGGAAAATTAAAATATGTTTTCTTCCGTGCCAATAACAACAAAGTAGCTATTCAATTATATAGAGTATAAAGGTCTATGTGTTTAGAAACAAAAGTATAAGATACTTTGCAGAAATCTAGATGTATAAAAGTTTGGCCTTATGTAACTATGAAAGATGAACCATATTCTAGATTTGTGGTAGGAATGAATCCAGTTCTAAATATGAATTCACTTTTGAAATCCATTTTTCACATGCCTTTTTTGTAATACAGGTGACTCATGAATAACTTTAATATTTATTTATACATCACCTTATATCAAATGAAATTTAAGGTGTTAAATTCCTACATTAAAATATTACAATTTTCCTCACAACATTCATCTACGAAAAAATACAATGTAGTACAATTTCCCATTGTAACTACTCTGAATATAGGTTATTCAAACAAAAGCAACTGCTTCTGCCTCCTCGTTTCAAAAATAGAAGAAAATTTCCTTTCTAAGATAAGAAATTCCTTCTGTCTACTTTGGCTGTAACTTTGTCTTCTAGCAACTCCCATTTCTTATGATCATTTCTGATGGGTTCAACTTTTCTCTCCTCAGTTCATTTATCTCAGGATTCCCAATTAACTGCTCTACTCAATCTTAACCATGCTCTTCAGCTGTCAGCTTATTTTAATATTGAGCATATTCAAATGCTCAATATGATCTTCAGTTGTCACTGTCCCTACTAGTTTACGTGTCTAAATTGAAATCTTCCTTGATCTAAATTTATGTCAGTTCAGGAAGCTTGCACAAATTTCCAAATGCTGGTATCCTAATTCAGAGACTGGGGTCTCAACAATAGCTGTCAGCCTAAGGCTAGCGAGCAAAAGCAGCTGAGAGAAAGAGTAAGAAATGGATTTCTAAATTTGTTTTAAAAATTATTCAAGTGACAGTGCAAAGAAAAATATTTAAAAATTAGCAAGAATATTTGATCTATCACTTGCAGTCTCAATTTGATGATTTTCAACCACTCTCTAAAGTTTTTAAATAAATATGACCAAATGTTAAATAAAATCACACAGCTCAAACAGAACATAAGAATACTGTGTTTATTTCAAGAATCACAATAATTGTGGGCTCAAGGTATAACCCAGAAAGAAAATTCAATCTAGATATAGGGCCAAGCAATTGCAATAAAGTATGATAGTGATGACACGGTAATAATAATAATAGAAGAAATCTACCATTGTGCCAGAAAAATGTAAAAACAGGGCTTGTTGCTAAGATATTACCTTTGAACTGCCTAATCTACACCTAAAACATGACAAAGGAAACAAAAAGGCAATCTCTGTCTATAACGTAAAGAGTAAGAAATTATAAATCAACACTGATATCACATAAACTTTCAAGAGATATAGTCTAATTTATTGCAAAGTATCTCCTATGCAACTGAAAAAAGCATGGAGGATGTATGTCGATTCTGTATACACTCCATTAATTAGCCAATACAAAATAAGTCCTTTTATAAAGTCATAATTATTCCTTCTGAAATATGGCTTGACATGTACTTATCTCATAGCAATGGTTTGCATGATTCCCTTTTTTTTCCAATTTTGCTAACAAATTGAACTTAATAGCTACCAGAATTTTTAATAAATCCTAGACCTAGATTTTACATGCTGGCATAAGAATTCTGTAGTGATGCTTTCTTTCCTAAGTTCTTCTAATAAAATCCCCTTCCCTTGTCTATCAGTGAGATTTCTTCTGGTTGCATAAAACAGACAAAGAAACAAATGGACTTAAATAATACAGTAAGTTACGGGCTCATGTTACTGAAAAACCTAGAGCAATGGCTCTCAATCCTGTCTGTGGGAATCACTTGGAGAGGTTTATAAAATAATTCCCTTGCCCATATCCCAAGGCATCCTCCCCAGAAATTATTTAAGTGGTCTTGGGTACTTTAAAATATAATTTCACAAGTTCCCAGATAACATCAAGTGTGAACACAAGGCTAAACATCCCTGCTTTAGAAGAAAGTAAAGAGGCTTCAGGTGTGACTTTAAAAGTTTTTCAATTCCATTTTTCTCTGAGTCTGTAAGCCCAATTTCCTTCCAAGTGTCATCTCCTGCAGGAAGGCTTTCCTCATGATAGTATAATGGCTGCAGCCTTATATCCATATGTTACACAATTCAGAAAAAGATCAAGCTTTTTCTCCAAACATAGAACACAATCTGGGGTTATTCTCTGGGCCACCATAGCTCCTATTCCACCTGAACTCATCACTGTGGCAAGAGAGACAGAATTATGGTAATCATCATAACTAACCCAAATGAAGAAACATAGAATTAATATAAAATTTTGTGTCTAGAAGGAATGAAACCTATTACATACAAACTGAAGCAAACATGTCAACTACCACTTAAGGATGCCTATATAACTTAGAACACAAATGGAAAATAAGAGAAAAACCCCAAGTAAACAGTGTCAAAAGTAAACAAGTGCAGTTGCTGCAGATGTTTAATTTGCAAAAAGCACTACATAAGTAGGTAAGGATGACAGAAAATTTAAAAAATTAAACCTGTGAGAGATATGGCTAAAAAAATCTATGTTACTAATCTATTCTTAAGTTATAATGGATGGTTGCCGAATTTAAATACACCCATCACTATCTATTTATTCCTACATAAAAGTAATGATTAATTTAATTGAGAGTTGAATTATGGGACATCTTTATGAATGCAAATTTCACATCAAATAAATATTTTTATATTTTGTAAAAATTAAATGTTAATGAAAATGGTTTATAGCATAAAATGTTTATGATATAGTCTTATTAAAGAAAAACTACAAAAAAAGATATTTTCACAGTATTACAATGAAAGAAAAATTCACTAAAACATTAACAGTTGCTACTATTAGTTGGGAAGACTATATAAACTTATCTTTTTCCTTCTGCTTTTCTTTATTTAACTTTTATTTTAAGTTCTGGGTACATGTGCAGGATTGTTATATAGGTAAAGCTGTGTCATGAGGGTTTGTTGCACAAATTATTTCATCACCCAGGTATTAAGCCTAGTACCTATTAGTTATTATTCCTGATCCTCTCCCTCCTCCCACCCTCCACCTTTCAATAAGCCCCAGTGTGTGTTGTTCACCTCTATGTGTCCATATGTTCTCATCATTTAGCTCCCACTTACGAGTGAAAATATGCAGTATTTGGTTTTCTGTTCCTGCAATAGTTTGCTAAGAATAATGGCCTCCAGCTCCATCCATGTTCCTACAAAGGACATGATCTCATTCTTTTTTATAATTGCATAGTATTCCATGGTATATACGTACCCCATTTTTTATCCAGTCTATCACTGATGGACATTTAGGATGATTCCATGTCTTTGCTATTGTGAATAGTGCTGCAATGAACATATGCATACATGTGTCTTTATAACAGAATGATTTATATTCCTTTGGATATATACCCAGTAATGGGATCGCTGAGTTGAATGGTATTTCTGTTTTTAGGTCTTTGAAAAATCACCACCCTGTCTTCCACAATAGTTGAACTAATTTACACTCCCACTAACAGTGTGTTAGCATTCTTTTTTCTCTGCAACCTTGTCAGCATCTGTTATTTTTTGACTTTTTAATAACAGCCATTCTGACTGGTGTGATATGGTATCTCACTGTGGTTTCAAGTTACATTTCTCTAATGATCACTGATGTTGAGCTCTGTTTCATGTGATTGCTAGCTGCATGTATGTCTTCTTTTGAAAAGTGTGTGTTCACATCCTTTGTCTATTTTTTAATGGGGTTTTGTTTTTCTCTTGTAAATTTGTTTAAGTTCCTTATAGATGCTGGATATTAGACCTTTGTCAGGTGCATAGTTTACAAAAATTTCCTCCCATTCTGTAGGTTGTCTGTTCACTCTGTTGATAGCCTCCTTTGCCATGCAGAAGCTCTTAAGTATAATTAGATCCCTCTTGTCAATTTTTGCTTTTGTGTAATTGCTTTCAGTATCTTTGTCATGAAATCTTTGCCCACTCCTATTCCAGAATAGTATTGTCCAGGTTGTCTTCAAGGTTTTTTATAGTCTTGGGTTTTACATTTAAGTCTTTAATCCATCCTGAGTTAAATTTTGATTATGGCGTAAGGAAGAAGTCCAGATTCAATCTTCGGCATATGGCTAGCCAGTTATCTCAGCAGCATTTATTGAACAGTGACTCCTGTCTCCATTGCTTGATTTTGTCAGCTTTGTCAAAGATCAGATGGTTGTAGGTATCCAGACTTCTTTCTGGACTCTCTAGTTGTTCCATTGGAATATGTGTCTGCTTTTGTATCCTTTGCATTTTTCTATCTTCAAAAATTTCTTCAATGATCATGTGTTACTCTTATAAATTTTAAAAAATCTTAATTACCAATAAGTTGTCCAATTACAGAATTGTTGGAAATGAGGAAAATAAGAAACTCTCAAAAATCCTTCACTTCATTTTAATACTTGAACTTCTAGATTTTTTTTCCAGTAATTGAATATTTAATCATAAAATCTGTGTGAATGTTCTTTGTATAAATGTCAAAGGTATGTTATTTCAATGCTTAAAACAAATGAAAATATCAATATCTCGAATGTTTCTATACAAGAAAACACTTCACAGTACCCTCAGTAACCATCATCTAGCCCTTGTCTAACATAATCTCCATGAGGAGGCATTTAGTTTTACATGACACTGCCTACCATATAATTTAAAAGCTTTAATTATTAGATTACAAACAACTTAAGTGCAATGAAAGAATCATATATTTAGAATCAAAATGCTGATAAATTAAAATTTTAAAATTCTGAAAGGATATGGGGAAGAGAGAAAAATGATGAGCAAAATTCGTATCTTTTATAATTAAATTACATTTTACACATATAAAAATTCAATTATTATTTGTATAATGAAAATGAAAGGAAATGGGAGAATGACTTTGAAAAGGATAACTTTAAGAGGTGAACTCCTATTCAACATAGTATTGAAAGTCCTAGTCAGAGCAATCAGGCAAGAGAAAAAAATAAAGGGCATCCAAAAGGAACAGAGAGGAAGTCAAACTATCTCTGTTTGCAAATTACATGATTCTGGATCTAGAAAACCCCATAATCTCAGCCCAAAAGCTCCTTCAGCTAATAAACAACTACACCAAACTTTCAGGATATGAAATCAATATACAAAACTCACTACCTTACCTATACACCAACAATAGGCAAACTGAGAGCCAAATCAAAAATGTAATCTTATTTACAATTGCCACAAAAAGAATAAAATAACAAGGAATACAACTAACCAGAGAGGTGAAATATCTCTACAATGAGAGTTACAAAACAGTGCTCACAGAAATCAGAGAAGACACAAACAAATGAAAAAGCATCCCATGCTCATGGATAGGAAGAATCAATATCATTAAAATGGCCATACTGCCCAAAGCAATTTACAGATTTAATGCTTTTCCTATCAAACTACCAATGATTTTCTTCACTGAACTAGAAAAAAAATTTTAAAATTCACATGAAACCAAAAAAGAATCCAAATAGCCAAGGTAATTCTAAGCAAAAAGAACAAAGCTGGAGGCATTACACTACCCAAATTCAAATTATATTACAGGGCTACAGTAACCAAAACAGTGTGGTAATAGTACAAAAACAGGCACATAAACCAACAGAACAGAATAGAGCACCCAGAAATAAGGCTGCACATCTACAACCATCTGATCTTTAACAAACCTGACAAAAACATGCAATGGGGAAAATAATCCCTATTCAATAAATGGTGCCGGGATAACTGGCAGCTACATGCAGAATATTGAAGCTGGACCCCTTCCTTATACCATATACAAAAATCAGCTTAAGATGGATTAAAGACTTAAATGTAAAAATCCAAACTATAAAAACCCTTGAAGACAACCTAGGCAATATCATTCTGGACACAGGAATGGGCAAAGATTTCATGACAAAGATACTGAAAGCAATCACAACAAAAGCAAATGAAACTATCAACAGAGTGAACAGACAACCTACAGAATGGAAGGAAATTTTTGCAAACTATGCATCTGACAAAGGTCTAATATCCAGTATCTATAAGGAACTTAAACAAATTTACAACAGAAAAACAACCCCATTAAAAAGTTAGCAAAGGACATGAACAGATACTTTTCAAAAGAAGACATACATGCAGCCAACAAGCATTTGGGGAAAAAATGCTGAATATCACTAATAATTATACAAATGCAAATCAAAACCACAATGAGATAGTGTTTCACACCAGTCAGAATGGCTATTGTTAAAAAGTCAAAAAATAACAGATGCTGACAAGGTTGCAGAAAAAGAAATGCTAATATACTGTCAATGGGAGTGTAAATTAGTTCAACCATTGTGGAAAGCAGTATGGCAATTCCTCAAAGAGCTAAAAGCAGAATTACCATTCAACGCAGCAATCCCATTACCGGGTATATTCCCAGAGGAATAGAAATCATTCTACCATAAAAACAGATGCACATGAATGAATCACTGCAGCCCTATTCACAATACCAAAGACATGGAATCAACCTCAGTGACCATTAATGACAGACTGGATAAAGAAAATGTGGTGTATATACACAATGAAATACCATGCTGCCATAAGAAAGAACAAGATCATGTCTTTTGCAGAAACATGGATAGATCTGGAGGCCATTATTCTTACCAAACTAACACAGAAACAGAAAATCAAATACCACATGTTCTCACTTTTAAGTGGGAGCTAAATGATGAGAACTTATGAACACAAAGAAGATAACAGCAGACACTGGAGTCTACTTGTGGGTGGAGGGTGGAAGGAAGGAAAGGAGCAGAAAAGATAACTGTTGGGTATTGGACTTAATGCCTGGGTAACGAAATAATCTTTACAACAAACCTCTGTGACACAAGTTTACCTATGTAACAAACCTTCATATGTATCCTCAAACTGAAAATAAAAGTTTTTTTAAAACATAAGAGGTGAAAATAACCTTTAAACTTTCTTATTTTGTTTTGATTTTGCAAATCAGGCAACACTCAAAGAAAAAAACAAATCCACATTGCAAGTTCAAGATTTTAATGCAATTGTCCTTGTAACATATTGAATAAACAAACAAAACTTACATAAGTATATGGAAGACTTGAATAACAGAATTAACAAATTTAGGATGATTGACATATTTATATCATTGTGTCCCATAACTACAGAATGTACCTCAAAATGAAAATAAAGGCCATGTATGACAAGCCCACAGCTAACATCATACTCAATGGGGAAAAGTTCAAAGCTTTTCCTTTAAGATCAGGAACAAGACAAAGATGCCCACTTTGCCACTTCAATCTAGTACTAGAAGTTCTAGCCAGAACAATTGGGCAAGAAAAAAAATAATAAAAGGCATCCAACTCAGAAAAGAAGAAGCAAAATTGTTTCTGTTTGAGGATGACATGTTCTTACATATAGAAAGCTCTAAAGACTACTGCCCCCCCAAAAAAAGTTACAACTAATAATACAGTAATGTTACAGAATACAAAATTAACATACAAAAATCACATGCTTGCACTAACAACAAACTATTTGTTAAAGACATTAAGAAAACCATCTTATTTCTTATAGTATCAAAATGTTATTTAGGAATAAATTTAACCAAGAGGGTGAAAGATCTGTATGCTGAAAACTATAAAATATTGATAAAAGAAATAGAAGATACAAATAAATGAAAAGATACCCTATATTCATGAATGTAAAGAATTAATACTGTCAAAACATTACTGAAAGTAATATACAGATTCAATGCAATCCCTATCAAAATTTCACGACATTTTTCACAGAAATAAAAAAAATCCTAAAATTCATATGGAGCCACAAAAGACTCCAAATAACTAAAGCACACTTGAGTAAGAAGGACAAAGTTGCAGGCATACAGATCCTTATTTCAAATATATTATAAAGCTATAATAATCAAACAGTATAGTACTGACATAGCAGATACATAGAAAAATAGAACAAAATAGAAAGCCTGGAAATAAACCCACACATATACTATCAACAAATCTTTGGCAAAATCACCAAAAATGAATGATATAGAAAGGATATTCTCTTCAATAAATAGTCTTGAGAAACCTGAGTATCCATGAGCAAAAGAATAAAATCAGATCCTTAACACCATATAAAAAGATCAATTCAAAATCAATTAAAGACTTAAATGTCAGACCTGAAACCACAGGATTTCTAGAAGAAAACAGAGGGGGAAAGCTCTATGACACTGGTCTTGGAAATAATCTCATGGATCTGAGATCATAAGCACAGGCAACAAAAGCAAAATTAAACAAGTGGGACTATATAAAACTTAAAAGCTTCTGCGCTGCAAAGGAGACAATCAACAAAACAAAAAGGCAACCTACAGAATAAAAGAAAATATTTGCAAACTACATACCTGATAAGGGTTAATCTTCAAAACATACAAAGAACTCATAAACTCAACAAAAAGAAACAAATAACTAACAGTTGGCAAAATACTTGAATAAGATATTTTTCTAAAGAAGACATTTGTATGGCCAATAGATATATGAACTAATGCTCAACATCACTAATCATCAGGGAAATGAAAATCAAAACCACAAGGAGATACCACTTCACATCTTTAAGAAGGATTATCATCAAAAAACTCAAAGGTAACCGGTGTAGCTGAGGATGTGTAGAAAAGAAAGCTCTTACATATTTTGGTGGGTATGTAAATTGGTACAGTCATTATGGAAAACAGTATAGAGGCTCCTCAAAATATTAAAAATAGAACTACTGTATGATCCTGCAACTTCACTTTTGGCTATACATCCAAAAGAAATAAAATCAGTATGTTGAAGAGATATCAGTACTTCCATTTTCATTGCAGCATTATTCACAAGAGCCAAGATATGAAATCAACATAAGTGGCCACTAATGGATGAACAGATAGAGAAAATGTGATATATATATTTATATGAATGAATATTATTCAGCCTTTAAAAAGAAAAAGTTTGCATGATCTCACTTATATATAGTCTTAAAAAGTCAAACTCATAGAAACAGAGTAGAAGGATGGTTACTAGGAGTCAGGATATCAGAAAAATGAGATGGTGGTCAAAGGGTTCAAACTCGAAGTTACAAAATGAATATATTCTGGACACCTACCGCACAGCATAGTGACTGTAATAATAACAGTGTATTGTATACTTGAAATTTGCCAAGAGAATAGATCTCAATTATTCTAATTACATACACACAAAAAGGAAACTATATGAGATAATGGATATGATAATATGATTAGTTGTGGCAATTATTCTACAATGTATGTGCATATATGTGTGTATCTCAAAACATCACATTGTACACTTTGAATATACACAATTTTTATTTGTCAATTACACTTCATTATAGCTGGAAAAAATTAAAATTAAAAAATGGCCAAAAATCAAGTATCTAAGCATACAATTAAAAATCTAAAAAAAAAACAGCAAATTAAATAAAGTAAATAAAGGAGAAAAATAATAGACAGTGAGTACAATAAATATAGAATCAAAAATAAAGCCACAAGACGGCTATTTTAAAAGACCAATAAAACTCATGTAGTAAGACCGATTAACAAAAAAAGAGGGGAAGGAGCCAAGATGGCCGAATAGCAACAGCTCCCAGCGTGAGCAACGCAGAAGACTGGTGATTTCTGCATTTCCATCTGAGGTACTGGGTTCATCTCACTAGGGAGTGCCAGACAGTGGGCGCAGGTCAGTGGGTGCGCAAACTGTGCAGGAGCCGAAGCAGGGCGAGACATTGCCTCACTCGGGAAGCGCAAGGGGTCAGGGAGTTCCCTTTCCTAGTCAAAAAAAGGGGTGACAGATGGCACCTGGAAAATCGGGTCACTCCCACCCGAATACTGCGCTTTTCCAACGGGCTTAAAAAATGGCGCACCACGAGATTATATTCCGCACCTGGCTCAGAGAGTCCTACGCCCACAGAGTCTCGCTGATTGCTAGCACAGCAGTCTGAGATCAAACTGCAAGGCAGCAGCGAGGCTGGGGGAGGGGCGCCCAGCATTGCCCAGGCTTGCTTAGGTAAACAAAGCAGCTGGAAAGCTCGAACTGGGTGGAGCCCACCACAGCTGAAGGAGGCCTGCCTGCCTCTGTAGGCTCCACCTCTGGGGGCAGGGCACAGAAAAACAAAAAGACAGCAGTAACCTCTGCAGACTTAAATGTCCCTGTCTAACAGCTTTGAAGAGAGCAGTGGTTCTCCCAGCACACAGCTGGAGATCTGAGAACAGGCAGACTGCCTCCTCAAGTGGGTCCCTGACCCCTGACCCCCGAGCAGCCTAACTGGGAGGCACCCCCCAGCAGGGGCAGACTGACACCTCACACGGCTGGCCAGGTACTCCAACAGACCTGCAGCTGAGGGTCCTGTCTGTTAAAAGGAAAACTAACAAACAGAAAGGATATCCACACCAAAAACCCATCTGTACATCACCATCATCAAAGACCAAAAGTAGATAAAACCACAAAGATGGGGAAAAAACAGAACAGAAAAACTGGAAACTCTAAAAAGCAGTTTCCTGCCTCTCCTCCTCCAAAGGAACGCAGTTCCTCACCAGCAACGGAACAAAGCTGGACAGAGAATGACTTTGACGAGCTGATAGAAGAAGGATTCAGATAATCAAATTACTCCGAGCTATGGGAGGACATTCAAACCAAAGGCAAAGAAGTTGAAAACTTTGAAAAAAATTTAGAAGAATGTATAACTAGAATAATCAATACAGAGAAGTGCCTAAAGGAGCTGATGGAGCTGAAAACCAAGGCTTGAGAACTACGTGAAGAATGCAGAAGGCTCAGAAGCCGATGCAATCAACTGGAAGAAAGGGTATCAGCGATGGAAGATGAAATGAATGAAATGAAGTGAGAAGGGAACTTTAGAGAAAAAGAATAAAAAGAAACGAGCAAAGCCTCCAAGAAATATGGGACTATGTGAAAAGACAAAATCTACGTCTGATTGGTGTACCTGAAAGTGACGGGGAGAATGGAACCAAGTTGGAAAACACTCTGCAGGATATTATCCAGGAGAATTTCCCCAATCTAGCAAGGCAGGCCAACATTCAGATTCAGGAAGTACAGAGAACGCCACAAAGATACTCCTCGAGAAGAGCAACTCCAAGACACATGATTGTCAGATTCACCAAAGTTGAAATGAAGGAAAAAATGTTAAGGGCAGCCAGAGAGAAAGGTCGGGTTACCCTCAAAGGGAAGCCCATCAGACTAACAGCGGATGTCTCGGCAGAAACTCTACAAGCCAGAAGACAGTGGGGGCCAATATTCAACATTCTTAAAGAAAAGAATTTTCAACCCACAATTTCATATCCAGCCAAACTAAGCTTCATAAGTGAAGGAGAAATAAAATACTTTACAGACAAGCAAATGCTGAGAGATTTTGTCACCACCAGGCCTGCCCTAAAAGAGCTCCTGAAGGAAGTGCCAAACATGGAAAGGAACAACCGGTACCAGCCACTGCAAAATCATGCCAAAATGTAAAGACCATCGAGACTAGGAAGAAACTGCATCAACTAACGAGCAAAATAACCAGTTAACATCATAATGACAGGATCAAATTCACACATAACAATATTAACTTTAAATGTAAATGGACTAAATGCTCCATTAAAAGACACAGACTGGCAAATTGGATAAAGAGTCAAGATCCATCAGTGTGCTGTATTCAGGAAACCCATCTCACGTGCAGAGACACACATAGGCTCAAAATAAAAGGATGGAGGAAGATCTACCAAGCAAATGGAAAATAAAAAAAGGCAGGAGTTGCAATTCTTTGAAACCAACGAGAACAAAGACACAACATACCAGAATCTCTGGGACGCATTCAAAGCAGTGTGTAGAGGGAAATTTATAGAACTAAATGCCCACAAGAGAAAGCAGGAAAGATCCAAAATTGACGCCCTAACATCACAATTAAAAGAACTAGAAAAGCAAGAGCAAACACATTCAAAAGCCAGCAGAAGGCAAGAAATAACTAAGATCAGAGCAGAACTGAAGGAAATAGAGACACAAAAACCCTTCAAAAAAGTAATGAATCCAGCAGCTGGTTTTTTGAAAGGATCAACAAAACTGATAGACCGCTAGCAAGACTAATAAGGAAAAAAAGAGAGAAGAATCAAATAGATGCAATAAAAAATGATAAAGGGGATATCACCACCGATCCCACAGAAATACAAACTACTATCAGAGAATACTACAAACACCTCTACGCAAATAAACTAGAAAATCTAGAAGAAATGGATAAATTCCTCGAAACATACACCCTCCCAAGACTAAACCAGGAAGAAGTTGAATCTCTGAATACACCAATAAAAGGATCTGAAATTGTGGCAATAGTCAATAGCTTACCAACCAAAAAGAGTCCAGGACCAGATGGATTCACAGCCGAATTCTACCAGAGGTACAAGGAGGAGCTGGTACCATTCCTTCTGAAACTATTCCTATCAATAGAAAAAGAGAGAATCCTCCCTAACTCATTTTATCAGGCCAGTATCATCCTGATACCAAAGCCTGGCAGAGACACAACCAAAAAAGAGAATTTTAGACCAATATCCTTGATGAACATTGATGCAAAAATCCTCAATAAAATATTGGCAAACCGAATCCAGCAGCACATCAAAAAGCTTATCCACCATGATCAAGTGGGCTTCATCCCTGGGATGCAAGGCTGGTTCAATATACACAAATCAATAAATGTAATCCAGCATATAAACAGAGCCAAAGACAAAAACCACATGATTATCTCAATAGATGCAGAAAAGGCCTTTGACAAAATTCAACACCCCGTCAAACTAAAAATTCTCAATAAATTAGGTATTGATGGGACGTATCTCAAAATAATAAGAGCTATCTATGACAAACCCACAGCCAATCTCATACTGAATGGGCAAAAACTGGAAGCATTCCCTTTGAAAACTGGCACAAGACAGGGATGCCCTCTCTCACCACTCCTATTCAACATAGTGTTGGAAGTTCTGGCCAGGGCAATTAGGCAGGAGAAGGAAATAAAGGGTATTCAATTAGGAAAAGAGGAAGTCAAATTGTCCCTGTTTGCAGACGACATGATTGTATATCTAGGGAACCCCATTATCTCAGCCCAAAATCTCCTTAAGCTGATAAGCAACTTCAGCAAAGTCTCAGGATACAAAATCAATGTACAAAAATCACAAGCATTCTTATACACCAACAACAGACAAACAGAGAGCCAAATCATGAGTGAACTCCCATTCACAATTGCTTCCAAGAGAATAAAATACCTAGGAATCCAACTTACAAGGGATGTGAAGGACCTCTTCAAGGAGAACTACAAACCACTGCTCAAGGAAATAAAAGAAGATACAAACAAATGGAAGAATAATCCATGTTCATGGGTAGGAAGAATCAATATTGTGAAAATGGCCATACTGCCCAAGGTAATTTACAGATTCAATGCCATCCCCATCAAGCTACCAATGCCTTTCTTCACAGAATTGGAAAAAACTACTTTAAAGTTCATATGGAACCAAAAAAGAGCCTACATCGCCAAGTCAATCCTAAGCCAAAAGAACAAAGCTGGAGGCATCATGCTACCTGACTTCAAACTATACTACAAGGCTACAGTAACCAAAACAGCATGGTACTGGTACCAAAACAGAGATATAGACCAATGGAACAGAACAGAGCCCTCAGAAATAACGCCACTTATCTACAACCATCTGATCTTTGACAAACCTCAGAAAAACAAGCAATGGGGAAAGGATTCCCTATTTAATAAATAGTGGTGGGAAAACTGGCTAGCCATATGTAGAAAGCTGAAACTGGATCCCTTCCTTACACCTTATACAAAAATCAATTCAAGATGGATTAAAGACTTAAACGTTAGACCTAAAACCATAAAAACCCTAGAAGAAAACCTAGGCCTGACCATTCAGGTCATAGGCTTGGGCAAGGTCTTCATGTCTAAAACACCAAAAGCAATGGCAACAAAAGCCAAAATTGACAAATGGGATCTTATTAAACTAAAGAGCTTCTGCACAGCAAAAGAAACTACCATCAGAGTGAACAGGCAACCTACAAAATGGGAGAAAATTTTCGCAACCTACTCATCTGACAAAGGGCTAATATCCAGAATCTACAATGAACTCAAACAAATTTACAAGAAAAAAACAACCCCATCAAAAAGTGGGCAAAGGACATGAACACACACTTCTCAAAAGAAGACATTTATGCAGCCAAAAAACACATGAAAAAATGCTCACCATCACTGGCCATCAGAGAAATGCAAATCAAAACCACAATGAGATACCATCTCACACCACTTAGAATGGCAATCATTAAAAAGTCAGGAAACAACAGGTGCTGGAGAGGATGTGGAGAAATAGGAACACTTTTACGCTGTTGGTGGGACTGTAAACTAGTTCAACCATTGTGGAAGTCAGTGTGGCGATTCCTCAGGGATCTAGAACTAGAAATACCATTTGACCCAGCCATCCCATTACTGGGTATATACCCAAAGGATTATAAATCATGCTGCTATAAAGACACATGCACACATATGTTTATTGCAGCATTATTCACAATAGCAAAGACTTGGAACCAACCCAAATGTCCAACAATGATAGACTGGATTAAGAAAATGTGGCACATATACACCATGGAATACTATGCAGCCATAAAAAATGATGAGTACATGTCCTTTGTAGGGACATGGATGAAATTGGAAATCATCATTCTCAGTAAACTATCGCAAGAACAAAAAACCAAACACCGCATATTCTCACTCATAGGTGGGAATTGAACAATGAGAACACATGGACACGGGAAGGGGAACATCACATTCTGGGGACTGTTGTGGGGTTGGGGGAGGGGGGAGGGATAGCATTGGGCGATATACCTAATGCTAGATGACAAGTTAGTGGGTGCAGCGCACCAGCATGGCACATGTATACATATGTAACTAACCTGCACATTGTGCACATGTACCCTAAAACTTAAAGTATAATAATAATAATAATAATAATAATAATAATAAGTTGTGGCAGCTGCTATAATAAACAACCCATCAAGCCCCAATAAACAATCAAAAGGCAAACAAACAAAAACAAAAACAAAAACAAACAGAAAGAGTGAAAAAGCATAAGCTAATCAGGAATTTTAAGAAGCAATTGTTAATTATATATCCTAGAAACATTAAAAATAATAAAAGCACATTATGAACAACTTTATGCAAATACATTTGAAAATTTAAATAAAATGAAAAGAAATTGGCAGAAGAAAAAAATGAAAAATAATTTCTAAATCTACCAAATCTACCAAATTTAATCTGTTATTAAAAGCTATCTTACATAAAGAATCTACCCTCAAATGGTTACACCAGTAAATTCAACAACAATCTCACACAAATTCTTTCAGAAAATGGAAAAACAGGCAACACTTACCAACTTTATGTGGTGACCATAACCATGACATCAAACCCTAACAAGGAAATTACTAAAAAGGAAATTACAGACCAATGCATCCCACAAAAATAGAAACAAAAGTCCTAAATAAAATATTAGTAAATAGTGCTGTGACATATTAAAAGGATACATCAAAAACACCTACATTTTATTCAACACATGCAAAAATAAATTTGCATTTAAAAAGTAATCAATATAATTTACTTGATAAGAGAATTAAAAAATCATAAGTAACCCAATAGATTTGAAAAAATGCTTAATAAAATTTAGAATATATTCCTAATATAACACTTGATAAACTAGAAATAGAAGCAGACTTCTTTAAATGGTAAATAATATTTTTAAATTACTAAGCATATTATACAGTATAGTGAATTATTAAAACTTTCCCCCAGAAACAAGCTAAGGATACTCACTTGCACCAGTTTTATCCAGCATCCTACTGATGATGCCAATGCCACTACACTAAAACATGATAATAATAATAATATTCATAGGATTTGTAAAGTCACTTTCCATAGATTATATGACTTTGTATGTAAATATTCTGAAGTAAATCCCTGCAGAAAAACTTGTGACTATACCCTCTCTGCTCCACAGAAATACCACAAAAGGAACTTCATCCTGCCCCTTCCCCACCAAGTTTTGTAGAGATTGTTATGCAGAGTCCTGTTGACTCCCTAGGTACTGTACTAACAAGGTGACATTCCTCCCACTCACCACCGGGTGCTGCAGAAACTCTTGGGCAGAGCCATGTCATCGAACTCATCCTGTACTAAGTAAATAACAGCAAAAGGCAGCACCTTGCCTCTTCCCAGCTAGATAATAGTTGAGAAGTGGTAGATTATGGAAAGGTCGGGGAAAATAAAGGAAATGTTCAAATCTGTGTATGAAATCCTGCATATACTCCCAAAAGACTCATAGGTGAAACTAAAATCAATATAGCAAAAGCTCTGAAAATTAAATTATCATGTGGAATACTGTCCATGTTTCAAAAAGTCCACTGGGTACCATATAAACAGAACAGAAAAGTACTGTGGCGTTTTTAAGCACCAAATTGACATCTGAACCACAGCCCACAAAAGTGGTCCAGGATATATGCTTTAAACCCAAATAATCTGACTTTCTACTAAAACAGAAGATGTAAATAGAAACTGTAATTTCATAACACGATACTGAAAATGTATAGAACGCATTTCAAAAGTACTCATCATAACAATAAAAAGAAAAAATTTCAACTAAAATGAGAAAAGACAGTCAACAGATGACAACACCAAGATGGAACAAATGCTAGAAGTATCTGACAAGACATTTAAAGCAGGTATCATACGAAAGTATCAACAAGCAATTATAAATTCTTGGAAAAAAATAAAAATTAGGGGGCAGGCCAAGATGACCAATTAGAAGCAGCTGCGAACTGCGGCTTTCACAGAGAAGAACAAAAATGGAAAGTGAATTCTACACCTTCAACTAAGGTATCCAGGTTCTCGTTTGGTACTGACTACGCAATCGGCGTGACCCATGTAGAGAGAGGAAAAACAGAGTGGGGCAATAGCTCACCTGGAAGCACAAGCCGCATGGGCAAGGGGAGCTCCCAGCTCCAGCCAAGAAAGGGGGTGAGTGATTGTGCGACCCTGCCTGGGAAACCAGGCTTTTCCCACAGATCTTTGCAACCCACGAATAAGATCCCTTCAAGCCCAGGCCACCAGGGCCTTGGGTGAAAAGCACAGAGCTGTGCAGACTGTCAGCGGCTGATCTGGCACACACAGAAACACAGGAGTTTTTGCATACTCCGTGCCTGGGAATTCCAATGAGGCAGGACACCCGTCCATTCCTGTAGAAAAGCCAGGGAGCCAAGCAGGCTCGTTCAGCAGGCCCCACTCCCAGAGCTCCTCACAAGTTAAGACCCACTGGCTTGGAACTCCAGACGCCCAGTGGCAATAGGTTGGAGACTGCCTGCGACTACCAAGTTCCCGGGGGGCAGGGGCAGCTGCCATCTCTGCAGCTGGAGTCAGCCATCCTGGCCTGCAGCTCCTGGAAGTCTGGGTGGTCCAGATTGGGAGGAATTCCCCACAACACAGCACAGCTGCTGTGGCAAATCGTGGCCAGACTGCTTTTTTAAGTGGGACCCTAATCCATCCCTCCTCACCAGGCAAGTCCTTCCTGGAGGAATTTCAGCAACTCTAGCAAGGGTTTTACCAGACAGAACTCTGATCTCCCTGGGAGGGAGCCCCTGGTGGGGAGAAGCGACAAAGGTCTTCACGGTTCAGCAGACATAGCATTTCCTGCCTGCCGGCTGTGGAGAGTCTGGGCGGTCTGCAGGAGAAGGGTTCTCCAGCACAGCGGAGTCACCCCACCAAGAGGCAGCCAGACTGCTTCTTTAAGCAGGTCCCTAATCCCGTTCTTCCCGACTGGGTGACCTCCAACAAGAGTCTCCAGACACCTCCTACAGGAATATTTGAGCTGGCATCAGGTTCGTACCCTTCTGGAACAAAGCTCCCTGAGGAAGGAGCAGGCTGCCATCTTTACTGTGTTGTAATCTCCACTGGTGATACCGTCAGGTGTGGGAGGGACCCAGGCGATTAGGGTCCGGAGTGGACCCCCCAAAACACGCGGCAGCCCTGCAGAAGAGCGGCCTGTTAGAAGAAAAACAGAAAGAAAAAAAAACACCCTACAAAAAAAACATTCAAAGATCAGCAACCTCAAAGATCGAAGGTAGATAAGCCCACAAAGATGAGGGAAAAAAATCAACACAAAAACACTGAAAAGTCAAAAAACTACAGCGCCTATTCTTCAAATGATCACAATGCCTCTCCAGCAAGGGCACAGAACTGGGCTGAGGCTGAGACCGCTGAATTGAAAGAAGTAGACTTCAGAAGGTGGATAATAATTAACTTGGCTGAGCTAAAGGAACATGTTGTAACCCAACACAAAGAAGCTAACAATCAAGATAAAACAATACAGGAGCTGACAGCCACAATAGCCAGTTTAGAGAGAAACATAACCAACCTGATGGAGCTGAAATACAACACAAAAACTTCACGATGCACTCACAAGTATCAATACCAGAATAGACCAAGTGGAGGAAAGAATCTCAGAGCTTGAAGATGACCTTTCTGAAATGAGACAGGCAAACAAGAATAGAGAGAAAAGAATGAGAAGGAATGAACAAAAAAG
The DNA here is from genome assembly GCF_000001405.40 of Homo sapiens. Taxonomy (NCBI): domain Eukaryota; kingdom Metazoa; phylum Chordata; class Mammalia; order Primates; family Hominidae; genus Homo; species Homo sapiens. Next base: position 97,912,649 of record NC_000004.12, read on the forward strand.
AATGAAAAGGAATAACAAAGCCTCCAAGAAATTTGGGATAATTTAAAAAGACCAAACCTATGAATGATTGAGGTGCCTGAAAGAGACAGAAAGAACAGAATCAAGTTGGAAAGCATACTGCAGGATATCATCTAGGAGATGCCATGCATTGGCATTTTGTAAAGTTCTCTAGATGATTCTAAGAAGCTTTTTAAGAGTTGAGAAACGCTGGCCTAAATAAGTGACAAATAATTTTGACCTACCATAAAATGGAGACATCTAATTGTACTAATGACCCAATAATACAATTCTAAAGAGGAAAGAGATACCTTTATGATAAAGCTTAGAAGGACCTGATAGCTTCTAACAAAAAGTTCTTTTAGCAGAACAAATTTACGCTGATGTCTATCTTCCAAGAATGCTAACAACATAATAGGTATTTTATAATTGTGCTAAAATTCAGCTTTATTCTGAAAATAGTTTGTATAATATAAGCTTCAAGGAAAATTCAGAGTTGTGACAGAGACAGAAACAGGCAATGAAGGAGAATAAATAAGCTGTCCTGGGAAGTTAACAAATGATTCTATTTTTCTTCATCTTTATCAATCACTTTATTAACTTTAAGAACAAGCTCAAATTTTACTTCCCTCAAAACCGGTATCTGCCTAATCCATCACTTGAGCTGTATTTTCCAATACTTACATGCTGTTTGTTTGGAATTAGAGCAAATAAAGAAGTTACAAAAACTGATTGGTTTTGGATGCATTAAAATTAGAAATACCAATTAGAAATCCAAGTTGAGACATCAGAGAGACAAGTATGAATATGTCTGAAGTCAAGGAAGACGATAGGCTATAGACATAAATAACTTATTGGGTTCCTAACCTATAGAACAGCTCCTCCTCCTTGCGCATATAATAATGATAGTATAGCTTTAAATTATCAATTAAGATTACAGTGCACAGTGATAGGTAATTCCAAGTTTGGCAATATTCCCAAGGGTCATCAGTAGTGGAACACACACCTCCACATTATGGAATAAAGAGTAAAAATCCTCATTCCTTATAGGGGCTTCATAATGTTGATAAATAAAACAAATATCAGAATCAATAGGTTTCAAATTTTAAAACTTTCTAGTGCATACATAAACCCCAAAATGTTCTACATAATCTGATGCTAAATTTGAAATTTAAGTGTGAATATATTAAATTTAATAAGCAAATTTAAATGAGCAAGTTGAAGAAAAATTTTAACATTTACAATAATATAATTTTTAGATACTTCCTGACTTTGAGTGTTTATTTCAATCAGAAATAACATAAAATTATAATTGCAAATCCTGAGAATATTCAAGCTCAAATCAAAGCTGTACATTCAGAATAAGGTACTAAAAGTAAAATTTCTACGATACGTAACAGCTATGAAACATAGACCTACACATGCAATACAATCAAACCTTTGAAATGATTTATCTGAACTGGATACACACAGTGCTTGACACCAACAAGCACGAAAATCTCCCTCTATAGAGCTGTTTTCAGAGTAATCTTTGTCTGAAAGTAAATTATTACCCCAAGTTAAACTGATTGCTCATCATATATTCCAAGAAATTTCTTTTAAGGTAAACACAACTAATCTGAGGATTCTCTGAAGCCCAATTGAAAACATTGTAATAGTGGTCCACCATCACTGTAAAAAAAAGAATCAGCATACTGAACTAAACTTAAGAAAACAGGCATCAAATAGCTCACCAGGAAAATAAAATACTAGGTCATGAAAAGATTTTTTTTAACTTTTTTTATTGTTGTAAGACACATAAAATGTATCATTTTTATAATTTTTAAGTGTACAGTTAAGCAGTACTAAGTACCTTACCATTGTTGCATAACCATAACCACCACACACCTCCAAAACTTTCCATCTTCCCAAACAGAAACATTGTACCATTAAACAATAACTCTCCATTCTCTCCTCCCCACTTGCAACCACCATTCTACAAGTTGCACACTGAGTATTCTTTATCCAAAATTCTTGAGACCAGAAGTGTTTTGGACTTCAGATTTTTTTGGAGTTTGGAATACTCGCATTATGCCAATTGAGCATCCCAAATCCAAAAATCCAAAATCTGAAATGCTCCAATGAGCATTTTCTTTGAGCATCATGTCGGCATTCAAAAAGTTTCAGATTTTGGAGCGTTTCCCATTTCAGATTTGGGATGTCAACGTGTACTTTCTGTTTCTATGAATTTCACTACTCTAGGTACTTCATATAAGTGGAATCATATAGTATTTGTCCTTTTCTGTCTGGCTTATTTCACATATAATGTCCTCAAGGTTCATCATATTATAGCACGTCAGAATTTCATTCCTTTTTAAGGCTGAATAATATTCCATTATGTGTATACCACAATTTGTTTATCCATTCATCTAGTGATAGATATTTGGGTGTTTCCAGGACAACATATTCTTAATTTAATCCCACAGTTTAAGACTTACAGGTAATTTAAATTAAATTCAACTTACTGAGTAGTTACTAAGGGTAACTCACTATGGGAAGTACTGTGGGAAGTACAAGGGTAAATCAGACATGGTGCCTGCTCTTAAGGAATTTACGATACACTGGGAAAAGAGAAGAAAAGGAAGTAGACGTAACCAGCATTTACTAATTGCTTGCCATGTGCCAAGTGTTTTACCCAATCACTGCATATATAGCTCCCAATGACTCTGTGAGGTAGATACTGTAACATCCATTTTATATAGGGAGAAAAATGAAGGCACTGAGACCTTAAGTAACCACCTCCAAAGCTGGGATTTAAACTCACATCTTGGATTCAGAGGCCTGTGTTCATTCCACTATACATGTTGTTCCCTATGATTCAAGGCAGAATGTGACAAATCCTGGGGAAGCTCCAGGAAGGTAGAAGAGGAAGAGAAGAGACTGCCCCTTGCCTGAGGGTAAAGGCACATGACAAAGGTAGGTCTTAGAGGTCAGGAAGGCTTATGTTTGACAGAGATAGAGGGTGGAAAAAAATTGTACAAGCAGAGCAAAATGACGGAGGCAGGAAAGTTCAGTACATACTTAGGGCCCAGTGGAATTGTGGACCATAAGGCTGGAAAGTGATGCAGGGAAAAATCATGGTCATAATGAAATGCTAGCTCAAGGAGTCTGAACTCCACCATCAGGCAATGGTGAGCCACTGTAGGTTTTTGAGATGGGACATAGTCAGAGCTATGCTTCGGGAAGATCACCATGGCAATAATGCATTGCAAGGATAGAGGGGGTGAGAGTAATTTAAAGGTAGGAAAAGCAGTTAGAAGGTCACTGGTGATAGCAGATGGGGCATAATTAGTCAGAATGGAAAAGAGGATATGGACGTGAGAGATATCTTAGAGGTGTGAATGACAGAACTCGGCAATCACTGCATTTCATAATGCATCAAGTAGGCTGACAATATATCCTGATTTGCCTGGGATATGTTTTCCTAGTGTAATTACAAATGGCACCCTTTTACTCTCCAAAAGGTCCATGTTTGGACAATAAGCTATATTATCATATTAATTAGGAGCAATGAGTAAAAGGAATCAAAGGTGACTCCAAGACTTTAAACCTGGATTAGTAAGGAAAGTGGTAACACCTTTGGAAACACAGAAGGGAAATCAGGTTTTGGGGAAATATGTTGAGTTTTGATCTGGACATGTTAACTTTGCTGCTGAGGTGAGGATTTATTTAACAGCAAGAAGCACCTTGCCCATGGATTTCCCCTGTATCACATGAAGGAAGGCATCACTGACCTCCTCCAGCTTGAAAACCATTCCAACATATGGTTGGATGCGCCCTTGTTGGCAGTACTGAAGCACTGAAGACAGGCTCCTGGAGAAGACGGGAAAGTTCATTTCTTTGTATTGACCATAGTACAGGCCCATCACAGAGACCTTCTTCAGGAGCAGAAGGTTGGCTGGCACCGAAACAATGCTCCCTCCAGCAAATCCCACCACTGCAATCCTGCCCTCCCATGCCAGGCTGTGGAGAGCCTCCAGGAAGACGTCTCCTCCCACCATGTTGATGGCCACATTCATCCCACCCTTGCCCACCAGCTTCCTCACTGCATCCTTCAGGCTGCTCTGACTATAGTTCACGCTGAACTGTGTGCCCCTCTGCATCACCAGGTTGCACTTCTCGCCACTTCCAGCAGCAGCTATTACCTTGGCCTGAAGAGCATTTGTTGCCACATCTATCACTACAAGGCCTGTGGCTCCAGCTGCTGCCATCACTAAAACAATTTCTCCAGGTTGGGTATGGGCCGATGCTCAAGAGCAAAAATAGCAGTGCCATAAGATAAATGGAGGACAGCAGCTTCTTGTAGGGAGAACTTTTCTGGAATCTGCCACAGGTTCTTCTGATCAGTGACACATTCTTCAGCCATACATTTAAAGTTTCTTATGCCAATAACTCTATCTCCCTCTTTAACTGTGCTGACATCTGTGTCTGTCTCCAATCCTGTCCCAGAAAACTCCATTCCAGGTATGAAGGGAAGATGGGGCCTTTCCTAATATTCACCACAGCAGACCAAAACATCAGCAAAGTTAACTCCACAGAAATGGACATCAACTGTGACCTCGTGAGGCCTGACGGGGCGGGGGGCCACCTCTTCAACCGTCAGGGGCTTCTTCAGCTCTGCGCAAATCACAGCGCGGTAGTGCCGGCCGCAGTCCTGCCTCTCTCTCCTGCAGAGCAACGACTGAGAGAGGCACTGCCTGCAGAGCACTGCCGCCATAGCCAGGCCAAGCGAGGGGCAAGCAAAAGATTTTTAAAATAAGAGAACAAATTGAGAAGATCTCAATACGGGTTCAACACCAGCAAACAATAAATGACTTTCATATTTTTTCATTTTTATGTAAGAACATAATTTACCCCTGGCTAAAAAAAAAATTCAAAACATAATGGTTAAAACTTAAAATAATATAGTAGCAATTTCAAATAGATACAATAAACTTAAGCTTTTAAAAATATATTCAGGTAAAAATATATCTTAAAAGCTATCTTGATACAGAGGATAGAAATAACCTCAAAGAGCTGTTAATCTCATAAACTCTGGGGACAAAAGCACACTAAAATAGGTGCAGAATACAATGTCAAAGAAAACCCACTCTCTGGACACTTTTTTTTAGACAAGATAAAGGATTTCTCTTAGACTACATCCTCTAAATTTCATCTTTTTAGGCTTATTAAATATTTCATAACTATATCCATTCCACCGTTGAGGTAGGACACTACTCATAGGAAAAAAAAGAGTGGCTGTTGACTTGCATTCTTCCTTAAATATAAAAGTATGTACTGAGAACCTACTGTGTACCTAGCATGATACCAAAACTACAATGGAGAACTCTGCATTTAACAAATAAACAATCTTTCTAAAATTAAGGCATGCGTATATAAGGAAGATAAAAAAAAACCTAAATCTCATGGCAAATGTTCCTCAGTAAATTTGTGAAAATTCTTGAGTAATTATATTCATAAAAGACTTATTAGACTGAGAAAGAAAAATTACTAAACTCCTATATTATACCTATCTTTTCCAACAAAAGGTAACTTTCCTGGTGAAAATAAAAAACTAGTTCATAAAAATAGACTTCAAAATAGATGAAAACAATTGTCAGAGATAACCAAGATGTTCCAGATAAATTCAGGATTCTGAATTGATATTGTAACAATACAGAGAAAGCCAGCACAGGAAATTGTGTATACTGTTAAGAATTTTTTATGCATTAAGGAGAACTCTCTATATATCACAAAGTGATGATGGGTCATTACTTTCACACACACATACACACACACAAACACACACACATTGGTCACATGCTGATCCATAGGTCCATGCTGTGTATGTGTAATAAAAAACTAGTTTTTTAATTTTCACCAGGAAATAAATAAATATATATGTGTATGTGTATATGTATACACATATATATACACACACACATACACACCATGGAATACTACTAAGCCATAAAAAAGGAATGAAATAATGGCATTCACAGCAGCCTGGATGGAGTTAGAGACCATTATTCAAAATAAAGTAACTCAGGAATGGAAAACCAAACATCCTATGTTCTCACTTATAAGTAGGAGTTAAGCTATGAGAACACAAAGGCATACAAATGATATAATGAACTCTGGAAACTCGGGGGAAGGGTGGGAGACAGGTGAGGGAAAAAAGACTACACACTGGGTGCAGTGTACACTGCTCGGGTGATGGGTACACCAAAATCTCAGAAATCACCATTAAATAGCTTATTTATGTAACCAAACACCACCTGTTCCCCAAAAACTATTGAAATAATTTTTAAAAATTAAAAGCAAGGTTTAATAGATTGAAATAATTGAGTATGCTCTACTTCAATCATGGAAGTATGCTTGAAATCAATAACAAATAATGAAAAATAAAACTACATAGGGATTAAACACACTTCTAAATATGTCAAAATAGAAAAACAAACATGAATTAAAAAACATCTTACACTAAGTGAAAATAACCAACATAACAGAATTTGTAGAATTCAGCTAATGTAGCACATTAAGGAAAGCGATTTCTGCTTCAAATATATACATAATCAAAAAGAAAAGAAGCTGAAAATTATCAATTTAGGGTTCATTTTAAGAAACTAGAAAAAAAACAAATGAAAATCACAAGAAATGCAAAAGAAAAAATATAAAGAAATAGAAATTAAATATATAATAGAGAATATCAACAGTCAAAAGTTTTTCTTTAAAAAGAGTATAAATATTGATAAACTCCTAGTAAGACTTATTACAGAAAAATTAAAAAAAAGAAAATACGAATCACCAACATCAAAGGGAAAAGAGGGAACTTAACTATAGTTTTCATAAACACAAAAAAAAGAAGAGAATGTTATGATTAACTTTAAGCAAATATATTTGGCAATTTGAAAAATGGATATATTTCTCAAAAATTGAATGAATAAAAGTAGACAAAAGAAGAAATAGTTCAATATTTATTAAAGGAACTGAATATTTTTTTCAAAAACCTTCTCACGGAGAAAAATCTAAGGTCCAGAAACTTTAACAGTGAATTCTTATAAATATTTAAGAAAGAATAACTCAATCTTGGAAAAAACCTAGTAAAAACTCTTCCAGTGAATTCAGGGGGATACTCTTTTTTAAGAACCCAGAATACCTTGACCCCCAAACCTATAAAAGGTCATTATAAGAAAGGACATTTGCATTCCCTGTCTATAACTTTTTTTTACTTTTGCCAACACTGCCCTCCTTGAATTTATTGAATAGCCTATGTACTGCCATGTTAGGCAGTATATTATTTCCCATCAAGGAACAATTTCAGAGGAAAAGAAATGTAACAATGGACTCATGTCCATAGAATTTACTAGGTCTAACACATCTTCATCAGTTAAAAGTAGCTGGCCTAAAAGAACAGAAAGGACTGCCAAAAACTCGATTATGGTGCCAATTGAGAGACAAAACACTGAGAGGACAGGATTCTGGCTTACAGAATTTAAAACAGGCTTTGTATCAGACATCAATCTAGTGCAGTCTTTCCCCATATCCAGAACTCATAAGTCCAGCAACCAAGGAATAGAAGTTCAAATAGCTCTTCTCACTATTTCGCCTTGTCACACACTCACAAAATTTTTGCCTCTTGTCTCTACAACTTTGAGCTGTACTTGTTTAGAAGTCTTGGTTCTCAAGGAAGGAATGTTTCCACACTCTGATTCTACAAAACTAAAAGTTGAGACTGCCAACTAGTATTTTATGCTACTCGTGCCACTGGACCAAAGTAAAAGTTTCTCTACCGACTGGGGTGACTTATCACAATTAACAAGTGGAAATTGGGTTGATGTTACGTAGTGAGGGCAGGTGTCAGTGGATTCTCTGAGGTTCCTGTTAATAATTTTATCTCCTTATTAAGAGTTAATGAAAATGTAAATCAACCAAAAAAAAAAGCAGTGCCACAGAGGATTTATATCCTTCAAAAATGAAGGGTGTAGATTATTCCAACAAATAAAGAACCCTGAACAGCTGACAACCTGGCTGAGAGTAAAGGAAACATAGACAGGACCATAGACGTGAGAAGTAAGAAATATCACCTATGGTCTTTGACCAGTTAACACATAAGGACTGTGGCAACTATGCATATTAACTTTTTTACCTAGTGTGTGTGTTAACTTTTTTCATCTTTCCTCTTATCCCTCCTTTTTTTATTTTCTAAAAGTCTTACAAGAAATTAACAACGAAGAGTGGTATCTGCAAGATGGGAGAATAGGACTTTCCAACACTCATCTCATTACAGAAACATCAACTTGAACAACTGTCCACAAGCAAAATGTTGTGGATAACCTTAACAAGAGCTAAAGAATTCAGGTGAGACATTACAGCACCTGGGTGTAACACAGAAATAATAAAAGATGCATTGAGGTTAGAAAGTACCGGTTTACATTATTTGTGTCACTCCCATCCCCAAGCCCAGGCAGCATACTGTGGGCAGAGATAGTCTCCTCATAGGGGGAAGGAGAGTGAAGTGATCACCTAACTTTGCCATGCACCCCTGACCAAGCAGGCACTAATGGCCTCAGGCTCCAGGCCCACTCCACTACCAATCCTGCTCCGGCAGCCCCAGGATCCAGCTCAATTCCTGCAGACTCATAGTCCAGACCTACCCCAGTTTCCAAAGTGGCCTGACAAGTCAAAATAATTGTCTTAAGAAAATTCAGTGATCTACAAGAGAACACAGACAACTAAGCAAATATCAGTAAAACAATATGGAAACAAAATTAGAAGTTCAATAAAGAGATAGAAGCCATGGAAAAGAACCCAAAAAGAAATTCTGGACAATGACAAAACTGAAAAATTCCACAGAGAGCTCCAATAGTACACTAAATCAAGCAGAAGAAAGAATTAGTGAGCATGAAGATAGGTTATTTGAAATTACCCAGAGGAACAAAAAGAAAGCAAAAAACCTACAAGACATATATGGGACATCATCAACTGAATCAATATATGCATTATGCACTTCCCAGAAGGAGCAGAGAGAAAAAAAGGATAGAAAAGTTACTGAAAAATATGACAGAAAACTTCGCAGATCTGGAGTAGAAAATGAACATCCAGATCGACAAGGCTAAGTGTTCATCAACGGATAAAGAAAAGTGGCACATATATACAATGTAATATTATTCAACCTTTAAAAAGAAGGAAATCCTGTCATTTGCAACAATATGAATGAACCTAGAGGACATTATGATAAGGGAAATTAGCAGATACAGAAAGACAAATTCTGCATGATTTCACTTATATGTTGAATGTAAGGAAATTGAACTCTTAAAAGCAGAGAGTAGAATGGTGGTTTCCAGGAGCTGGAGGGCAGGTGAAGAAATGGAGAGATTTAGGCCAATGGTTACAAAGTTTCTGATAGGAAGAGTAAGTTCTGATGAATAAGCTGCATGATGACTGAAGTTAATAATAATAGGTCATATACTTAAAAATTGTTAAGATCTTAAATGTTCTAACCACAAAAATGTATTTGTGGTGATGAATATGTTAATTAGTTTTATTACATCATTTTACAGGGAATACATACATCAAAACATCACATTGTATGTCATATATATATATATGTAATTTTTATTTCCTAATTATTCCTTAGAAAAGCTGGAGAAAAAAAGGAAAAAATAATGTAACAGTTAACAACAACCATAAATTTAAAATGTATAATTCAGCATTTAAGTAACAGAATATTTAGATGGCCTGACTAAATTTGGCCAGAGATGAAAAAAATGACTGTTAAAAACTTGTGTCTCCTCATTTTGAAGAAACTGAGAATGCCTTTGTTGTACAAAAAATGGTTGTATCTTATTACTAAGAAAAAAAGTTGTTTGTAGTGCTGTGTGGAAGTTCAAATATGTATAAAAATGCACAGGTATGCTGAATAGCCAATGGGGTGAAATGTATGAAATTTTAAACTACTGTCTCTCAGCTCCAAACCTAGGAATCTGCAAACCATATTTATGCTTTGCCAGATGGCTCTCTGTTAGGTCCTGCAAACAGGAGATGCTAGACAGCATATGCAAGGTTAGGGGAAGAAGGGATTTCCCCTTTTCAATAGGCTTCTACATTCTGGAAGCAGCAGTTCCTTCCCATAATTGCAATTTTCCAAATCCACTTGCAATTTTTCCAACATGCTTCTGCTTTTTTCCCGGTGTCATTATGTACCCTATGAAACTTTATAACATGAGTATTTCTTTCTCTCATTATTTTCCTTCTTTATACTCCTCCTTGCATCTCTGGCCTTTTCCTTTTCCCCTCTTTTCTCTACAAATGTCATTTTATTTTTCTACCAAAGTCATTTCAACTATATAAAACTGTTAGTTTTCCACACTGGTTTCCCATGTACTTGTGTTGATAATAATAATATTGAGAGGTGACAGCGTGCTGGCAGCCCTCGCAGCCCTCGCTCACTCTTGGCACCTCCTCGGCCTGGGCGCCCACTCTGGCCATGCTTGAGGAGCCCTTCAGCCTGCCGCTGCACTGTGGGAGCCCCTTTCTGGGATGGCCCAGGCCGGAGCCAGCTCCCTCAGCCTGCGGGGGGGTGTGGAGAGAGAGGCACAGGTGGGAACAGGGGCTGTGCGCAGCGCTTCCCCTCCCACCCCCCCCGCCATGGGCTCCTGTGTGGCCCACCTCCCCGACAAGTGCCGCCCCCTGCTCCAGGGCGCCCCGTCCCATCGACTGCCCAAGGGCTAAGGAGTGCAGGCGCACAGCGCAGGACTGGCAGGCAGCTCCACCTGTGGCCCCAGTGCTGGATCCACTGGATGAAGCCAGCTGGGCTCCTGAGTCTAGTGGGGACTTGGAGAATCTTTATGTCTAGCTAAGGGATTGTGAATGCACCAATTGGCACTCTGTATCTAGCTCAAGGTTTGTAAATGCATCAATCAGCACTCTGTGTCTAGCTCAAGGTTTGTAAATGCACCAATCAGTGCTCTGTGTCTAGCTAATCTGTTGGGTACTTGGAGAATCTTTTTGTCTAGCTAAGGGATTGTGAATGCACCAATCGGCACTCTGTATCTAGCTCAAGGTTTGTAAATGCACCAATCAGCACTCTGTGTCTAGCTCAGGGTTTGTAAACCAATCAACACTCTGTATCTAGCTAATCTAGTGGAGAACTTTTATGTCTAGCTCAGGGATTGTAAACACACCAGTCAGCACCCTGTCAAAATGGACCAATCAGCTCTCTGTAAAACAGACCAATCGGCTCTCTGTAAAATGGGCCAATCAGCAGGATGTGGGTGGGGCCAGATAAGAGAATAAAAGCAGGCTGCCTGAGCCAGCAGTGGCAACCCACTTGGGTCCCCTTCCACAATGTGGAAGCTTTGTTCTTTCACTCTTTGCAATAAATCTTGCTACTGCTCACTCTTTGGGTCCACACTGCGTTTATGAGCTGTAACACTCACCGCGAAGGTCTGCAGCTTCACTCCTGAGGTCAGCGAGACCACGAACCCACCAGAAGGAAGAAACCCTGAACACATCCGAACATCAGAAGGAACAAACTCCGGACACACCACCTTTAAGAACTGTAACACTCACCGCGAGGGTCCGCGGCTTCATTCTTGAAGTCAGTGAGACCAAGAACCCACCAATTCCAGACACAATAGGATGTTACTTAATAAAAACATTTTAAACATATGTGATGGAAAATGCCTTTTCCTCTACACATGCTATAGTAATACAATAGGACTTTTGTCTGCCCCTAAAAACTCCCAATGGGAAGGTCATTAGTACATAGTTTTGTATATAATTAGGAGCAGATGCTCAAAATTTTAATATTCTGAATTGGTCAAAGTATAACTATGTTAAGCATATCAGTGACTCATATTTCTACATGTAAATCCAGCATTAAAGATGACAGCCTTCTTCATTAGGGGAGGTAATTTTGAAAAGGGATATGAGTTCTTAAATGTTTAAATATACTAATGCAAGGTTTACTCTTCATGAATATGTTCATCTTAAGATGATTAGACATTTGAAGTCAATTTTTAAATGTCATGTTTTATTCGTCATAAATTTGATATAAAGAGGTTTTAATGATAATAATACCATATTATAACATATGTAGAGGTAGTAGATAAGTCATGTTTGCATCAGGGACCTTAAATTATGGAGTTAAAAGTCCTGGCTAATCATCTCTGTATCATTTTTAATATATTGTCCCTCTTTTCACTCCCACATTTTCTACCAAACAATGACTTGTTGATACAAAATGTTGGATGGATGCCATAGATGCAGCAGCAGAATTTATTTCTCAGAGATTATGTAGAATATGAATCATTTGTTGTTGTTCATTCTAAATGAATATGGCACCTTCAAAATTAGAACAGATTGCATTCTCAAAACACATGAGAAAATGTTATCAACCAAAGAGTAAAGATAAAATTATTTCTTTGCAAATCTATTACTTCTGAGATTTATGTACTGCAAATAAAAATAACCAGAACTAAAAGTTCTAACCTAGAAGTTCTGAATTGCATTCTCTTCACAATCTATATAACCAGACAGGCAATAGCACTCAATCAGGAATTAAGTTGTTAGAATCTGGTTTATCACAGTGCATCATGTTCAGCAGTTTCCTTCACTGTTCCTTCTCGGCCTTGATGAAGATGGCAACTATCAGCACTTATTCCTGCTGTTTGCTTATCAAACCCATTTTCTGAGCTAATGAAGTTAGACAATTAAATAAAAAATTTATAAAAAGTTTAAAATGTAATGGAAGTACAGGAAGTATATAAGTTCACTATGACCAATTCACTCTTCAGTGTGTCAGAAATCATTTATCTAAAATCCTTTACTTGTACTGATGGCCCTGCAGTAAGAAAATTTATTATAATGTGCTGTCTCCCATCAGTGGTTAGTTGTATAATAAGATAACAACAGACCAACCAACAAAGCAAACCCTAAAAACTGTCCAAGAATCTAAGAATTTTCCATATTCAATGAGAAAGTATAACAAAAGAAAGAAGTGAGAGTAACAAAATACAGTTTTTAGTCAGAATAACTTTGATTCTTATTCAGCTGAAATTCATTTCTAATGTGTTTTTACTATCTTCAGGATCCCAAGGATCTGTGTCCCAGGCCCAGGGGATCTTTATTTTGAGCTCCTGAGACACTTTTACCAGCTGACCTGTGACACCTCTTCAGAAGTCTGAATTCTGAATCCCAGCTCCATAAGATCTCTGCAAGCTTTCAAATTTTAGTAATTCTAACCTATACCTTTTATTCCTCAAGGCTTAATGACGGTGGCATTTCCTGTATCACTACCTCCATGATACCTTAGTGTTCCTTCACCTTTTCAGCTTTCCAATATCCATAATTCCTTATACAATTTTATCTCAAAACTACTAGTATGGTTCTGTCTTCTGACTAGATCCTGACTGATCATAGGCCCTCTCTACCTAAATGTATCTTTATGCATTTTGATCTGCAGTAGCCACCTACTGCATGAGACAAGGAGGGTGTTACTCTAACACCTTTCCAGACTTTCAGATAGAAAATGAAGTTCATACTTCATCATCCCTGGGATTTCTAGACCCAAGTCTGTGATTATCCTACCACTACTTCCCAAACTCCAGTCTTACCAGGGTTCACCCACAATGTGAGAGAGCATAAAACAGACCTCAAATTCAGATCTCAATTCCCTTGTTTTTCTACTCTTTTTGATCCTTCCATGTCCTTCCCATCCAAGAAGGGCTCTCTCTTTCATTTTACCAGACTTCCCCTATCTTGTACTTTTCCTATTCTCTTTCTCATAGAAATGCTTTTATATCTCTGCCATCACCATTAGAAGAACATGCTCCACCTATCCTGCTGGTCCCAAGAACCATTATAAAGTCATGGCTCCCCACAACTATTGTCTCTGAAATGAACTTTAAGAAATGTTTCCGAAGTAAAACACTTATTCTTTCCATGCCTTTGCATTTCTGACATAGAAATTCTAATCCTCTGCAAGACAAAGGAGCTTCTGGTTTAAAAAGATGAGTTTCACTTTCAAGGAAGTGTGAAAAACAAAAAGACATCACTAAATTTTAACATGTTCTTCATTAATATTATATTAATAGAATGATGAAAAGAGACATGTTCTTCATTAATATTATATTAATAGAATGATGAAAAGAGACCACAGGCATGAGACTGACTTAGCTTTGAAACATAACTCTACCATTTTTACAATTTTTATAGCTAAAAATATAGTAGGCTTATAGCCTACTATAGGCAACACAGTGAAATAAATGTTGTACGTAATAACACACTTAATTCTTACCATGGCCCTATCAGGTACGTCTTGTTATCCTTACTTAATAGTTAAGGAAACTGAAATTTACAGAAGTTGCCTAAACTCACGCAACTAGGCAGTGGAGCTGAGATTTAAAAAGTATTTTTCTAATTCCAAAGCTTTTGCTGTTAAACTTTAACCTAGCTCGAGATGATACACAAAATATTTAACAACTCAAATTAACAAATTAATATATAAATCAAAATTTATTTTTAAATTCCTTTTCATTCTCAACTCTATGTATTATAACTGATAAGTGATACAAAGGTAGCACAAATTGTTCACTAAATAATTCTAAGAAATTTCAAGTCATTTGTTAACTTTTAGAAAATGTTGGTATAATTTTTGTGATATATTTTGTTATGAGTCGTCACTAGCCAATGATTGCCCTTTCTGAGCCATAAATTGACCTAAGAAAGTATATCAAACTCTTCTACTGCCTTTCCCACTAACCTGATAGTCAACTTTTAGTTTCTCAATAACTAAAGGAAAGTTTTAACTTCAACAGTATTGTTTATGATGCTGAATCCTCTCTCAGTTTATGCTAAACAATAGTGATTACATTTTTTAAAAAAAGTTATATACCTTATAATAACATCCGAGATCTTTATGCTTATATAGCTTTTTAAAAAATCACAAAAAAAGTTTATAATACTATCATATTCATTTTAGTCAACCCTAATTTTTCAAGCCAGAGGAAAGTGCCATGAAATCACCCTAAAGAGAGTGACTTCTATTGGATTGCCTCAGTTTGAATTCTGGCTCTGCAACTTAAACTTTAAACTCTGCGCCTCCATTTCTTCATTTTTAAAGATTACCATAACTATAGTACTCAATGAGTTAATATGCATTTGGAATGGTGCCTGGCATGGAATAAGTACTATATAAGCATTAGCTCTTATTTTCATTAATAAAATCAATGTCACCAATGTCTGTGATACACAGTGTTTTGTGGTTTTTAATAATTTAATTCATTAAATGAAAGTGAAATATAACATATTCTCAGGGTGATTCCCCTAACACATACTCAAAACCAAAACATTCAACACAGGCAATCTTCCTTTCAATCCTCTGGTAAGTAGAAAGGGTAAATTTATTTGCATTTCACTTTTAACCTGCATAGGTTGACCACTAGAGTTTTAGTGTATTAATGAATTTTCTTTGAGACTACCCACTACAAGAGTCTTAAACTTGGTTTCCATCTGAGAGGCCCTCCTTGGCCATAAAAATTAAAACCTAAACTCATCTGGTAGGGCAAATGCCCTTACGGTGAAAGTTAGCTTTAGAACTTTACTTGCCACTCTGGGTTCCTCCTTAATTTAGCCTGTGTATTGTGTACTCCTTACTTTCTAACTCTTGGAAAAATTCATTAATATGTTTTGTTTCTTTTGTGTAGAAGTTTTGTTATTTTCAGAGAGTGGGTCAATACAGATACCAGTACATCATAGTGCCATTCCAAATGCATATTAAATCATTTGAGTACTACTTCTACTTTTATTTCAAAATAATACCTTCACTTCATAAACAAAAATATAATCATATACAAGGGTCTAAAATAAACAGTAAAAATGTCCTCCTTTGACCTCTCCCTGGGTCCATTCTAAGAAATAATTCCTTTAAGTAATTAGGTCTTTAAGGGATTTTTGTTGTGGGGTTGTTTTTGTTTTTATTTTGTTTGGGTTAGTTTTGTTGCATGTACCATTACAAGTTTAATATAAGGCCTAATACTGATTTGTGAATTTTTAACATCTGTTAACTCTGCATTATGAAATGAGAAATATGGAACATATACTATCTCCCAATCTCTTTATTATTTTATATTAAGGTTTATAAAGTTTATATTCTGTCTTATAATTAAGTCTTCTTTTATTTGTGTAGTTGATTTAAAATAAACCAATTTTATTTTTTTTAACTGTTATTTTAGGTTTGGGGGTCCATGTGAAGGTTTGTTACATAGGTAAACTTGTACCACAGAGATCTGCTGTACAGATATTTCACAACCCAGGTATTAAGCCCAGTACCCACTGTTTATCTTTTCTACTCCTATCCCTTCTCCCACCCTCCACCCTCAAGTAGACCCAGTGTGTACTGTTTCCTCCTTTGTGTTTATAAGTAACTATCATTTAGCTCCCACTTGTGAGAACATGTAGTAGTTGGTTTTCTGTTCCTGCATTAGTTTACTAAGGATAATAGCATCCAGCTCCATCCATGTTCCCACAAAGGCAGGATCTCATTTTTTTATGGGTGCATAGTATTCTATGGTGTATATGTACTACATTTTCTTTCTCCAATCTGTCATTGATGAGCATTTGGGTTGATTCCATGTCTTTGCTATTGTCAATAGTACTGCAATAAGCATTTGCATGCATGTGTCTTTATGGTAGAACAATTTATATTCCTTTGGGAATATACCCAGTAATAAGATTGCTGGGTTGAATGGGATTTCTGTTTTTAGATCTTTGGGGAATTGCCACACTGTCTTCTACAATGGTTGAACTAGTTTACACTCCCACCAACACTCTACAAGCATTCTTTTTTCTCTGCAACCTCACTAGAATCTTTTATTTTTTCACTTCTTAATAATAGCCTTTCTCACTGGTGTCAGATGGTATCTCAGTATAGTTTTGATTTGAATTTCTCTAATTATCAGTGATGTTGAACTTTTTCTCAGTTGATTGTTGGCCACATGTATGTCTTCCTTTGATAAGTGTCTGTTCATGTCCTTTGCCCACTTTTTAATGGGGTTTTGTTTTACTCTTGTAAATTTGTTTAAGTTCCTTATAGATGCTGCATATTAGACCTTTGTCAGACGGGTAGATTGCAATAATTCCCTCCCATTCTGTAGGCTGTCTGCTCACTCTGTTGATAGTTTCCTTTACTGTGGAGCTCTTAAGTTTAATCAAATCCCATCTTCCAGTTTTTTTGTTTGTTTGTTTGTTTTGACACGGAGTTTTACCCTATCACCAGGCTGGAGTGCACTGGCATGATCTCAGCTCACTGCAACCTCCACCTCCCAGGTTCAAGCGATTCTCCCACCTCAGCCTCCCGATACCTGGGACTACAGGCAAGCACCACCACGCCCAGCTAATTTTTGTATTTTTAGTAGAGATGAGGTTTCACCATGTTGGCCAGGATGGTCTCAATCTCCTGACCTCGTAATCTACCCACCTCAGCCTCCTAAAGTGCTGGGATTACAGGCATGAGCCACCATGCCCAGCCCAATTTTTACTTTTGTTGCAATTACTTTTGGTGTCTTTGTCATGAAATCTTTACCTGTTCTTATGTCCAAGATAGTATTGGCTAGGTTGTTCTCAAGCGTTTTTAGAATTTTGGGTTGCACATGTAAGTCTTTAATCATCTTGAGTTGTTTTCTGTATATGGTATAAAAAGGGGGTCCAGCTTCATTCTTCTGCATATGGTTAACCAGTTATGCTAGTGTCATTTATTGAATTGGGAATGTTTTCCCCATTGCTTGTTCTTGTCAGATTTGTTGAAGATCAGATGGTTGTAGATGTATGGCCCTCATGTCTGGTCTCTCTTTTTTGTTCCATTGGTCTATGTGCCTGTTTTTGTACCAGTGCCATGCTGTTTTGGTTACTGCAACCTGGTAGTATAATTTGAAATCAGGTAACATGATGCCTCCACCTTTGTTCTTTTTGCTTAGGATTGCCTTGGCTATTAAGGCTCTTTTTTGGTTCCATATGACTTTTTAAAGGTTTTTTTCTAGTTCAGTGAAGAATGTCACTGGTAGTTTCATAGAAATAGCATTGAATCCACAAATTGCTTTGGGCAGTATGGCCATTTTAACAATATTGATTCTTCCTATCCATGAGCGTGGTATGTTTTTCTATTTGTTTGTGTCTTCTGTCTTCTCTCATTACTTTGAGCAGTGTTTTGTAATTCTCATTTTAGAGACCTTTCACCTCCATGATTAGCTGTATTTCTAGGTATTTTATTCTTTTTGTGGCCTTTGTGAATGAGTTCATTTGTGATTTGGCTCTCAGCTTGACTACTGTTGGTGTATGAAAATATTAATGACATTTGTAGATTGATGTTATATCCTTAAATTTATCTGAAGTTTTCTATTAGCTGAAGGGGCTTTTGGGCCAATACTATGGGATTTTCTAAATATAGGATCATGTCATCTGCAAACAGATATAGTTTGGCTTCCTCTCTTCCTATTTGGATGCCTTTTATTTTTTTCTCCTGCCCGATGGCTCTGGCTAGGACTTCCAATACTATGCTGAATAAAAGTGGTGAGAGAAAGCTTCCTTGTCTTGTGACAGTTTTCAAAAGGAATACTTCCAGCTTTTGTGCAATCAGTATAAGGTAGGCTGTGGATTTGTCCTAAATGGCTTTTATTATTTTGGGAAATATTCATTCAATACCTAGTTTATTGAGAGTTTTTAACATGCAGGCATGTTGAATTTTATCAGAAGCCTTTCTGAAGCTATTGAGATAATCATGTGGTTTTTGTCTCTAGTTTGGCTTATGTGATAAATCGCATTATCAATTTGCATATGTTGAAACAACCTTGAATCCTGGAAATAAATCCTACTTCATCATGGTGGATTACCTTTTAGATATGCTGCTGGATTCAGTTTGCAAGTATTTTGTTGAGGATTTTTGCATCAATATTCAATAAAGATGTTGGCTTGAAGTTTTTTTGTTTTTGGTTTTTTTGTTTTTTGTTGTTGTTGTTGTTTGTTGTTTTTTTATCTTTTTGTGTGTGTGTGTGTTTCTGCCAAGTTTTGGCATCAAGATAATCCTGGTCTCATAGACTGAGTTAGGAAGTAGTCCCTTCTCCTCAATTTTTTTTAATAGTTTCTGTAGAAACTGTACCAGCTCTTCTTTGTACATCTGGTAGAATTCAGCTATGAATCCATCAGGTCTTGGTCTTTTTTTTTAGTTGGTAGGCTATTTATTACTGATTCAATTTCAGAACTCATTATTGGTCTGTGCAGGGAATCAATTTCTTCCTGGTTCAAGTCTTGGGAGGATGTATGTGTCCAGGAATTTACCCATCTCTTCTAGGTTTTGTACTTTGTGTGTAGAGATGTTTGCAGTAGTTTCTGATGGCTGATTTTATTTCTGTGGGATCTGTAGTAACATTCCCTTTGTCATTTCCAATTGTGTTAGTTTGAATATTCTCTCTTTGCTTCATAAGTCTAGCTAGTGGCCTATGTATTTTATTAATTTTTTCAAAAACCAACTCCTGGATTCTTTGATCTTTTGAATGTTTGTTCGTGTCTTGATTTCCTGCAGTTTAGCTCCGATTTTTGCTATTTTTCATCTTCTACTAGTTTTGGGGTTGATTTATCCTTGATTCTCTAATTTTTCAAGTTGTGAAGTTAGGTTGTTAATTTGAGATTTTTCCAAATTTTTTTTTAATTTTATTTTAAGTTCTGGGACACATTTGCAGAACATGCTAGTTTGTCACATAGATAAAAGTGTGCCATGTTGGCTTGCTGCACCTATCTACTCATCAACTAGGTATTAAGCCTCACATGCATTAGCTATTTTTCCTGATGCTCTCCTTCCCCCTGGGCCCCAAACAGGCCCCAGTGTGTGTTGTTCCCCTCCCTGTGTCCATGTGTTCTCATTTTTCAGCTCCCACTTATGAGTGAGAACATGCAGTGTTTGGTTTTCTGTTCCTGTGTTAGTTTGCTGAGGATGATGGCTTCCAGCTCCATCCATGCACCCGCAAAGGACATAATCTCATTCCTTTTTATGACTGCATAGTATTCCATAGTGTATATATAATACATTTTCTTTATCCAGTCCATCATTGATGGTTATTTGGGTTGATTCCATGTCTTTGCTATTGTGAATAGTGCTGCAATAAAGATATGTGTGGATGTATCTTTATAATAGAATTATTTGTATTCCTTTGGATATATATCCCAGTAATGGGATTGCTGGATCAATTGGTATTCCTGGTTCTAGATCATTAAGGAATCGCCACACTGTCTTCCACAATGGTTGAACTAATTTATATTCCCACCAACAGCATAAAAGTGTTCCTATTTCTCCACAGTCTTGCCAGCATCTGTTGTTTCTTGACTTTTTAATAATCACTATTCTGACTGGCATAAGATGGTATCTTATTGTGGTTTTGATTTGCATTTTTCTAATGATCAGTGATGTTGAGCTTTTTTTCATTTGTTTATTGGCCATATAAATGTCTTCTTTTGAGAATTCTCGGTTCATGTCCTTTGCCCACTTTTTGATGGGGTTGTTTTTTCTTGTAAATTTGTTTAAGTTCCTTGTAAATTCTGGATATTAGACCTTTGTCAGGCGGGTAGATCAAAAAAATTTTCTCCCACTCTCTAGGTTACCTGTTCACTCTGATGAAAATTTCTTTTGGTGTGCAGAAGCTCTTTAGTTTAATTAGATCCCAATTGTCAATTTTTTCTTTTGTTGAAATTGCTTTTGGTGATTTCATCATAAAATCTTTGCCCAAGCCTATGTCCAGAATGTTATTGCCTAGATTTTCCCCCAGGGTTTTTACGGTTTTGGGTTTTACATTTAAGTCTTTAATCCATCTTGAGTTAATTTTTGTATAAGGTGTAAGGAAGGGATCCAGTTTCAATTTTCTGTATATGGTTGGCCAGTTTTCCCAGCACCATTTATTAAATAGGGAATTCTTTCCCCCTTGCCTGTTTTTGTCAGGTTTGTCAAAGATCAGATGGTTGTAGATATGTGGTATTATTCTGAGATCTCTATTCTGTTCCGTTGATCTATGTGTCTCCTTTAGTCCCAGTACTATGCTGTTTTGGTTACTGTAGCCTTGTAGTGTGGTTTGAAGGCAGGCAGTGTGATGCCTCCAGCTTTGCTCTTTTTGCTTAGAATTGTCTTGGCTGTACGGGCTCTCTTTTTTGTTCAATATGAAGTTTAAAGTAGTTTTTTCTAATTCTGTGAAGAATGTCAATGGTAGTTTGATGGGAATAGCATTGAATCTATAAATTACTTTGGGCAGTATGCCTGTTTTCATGACATTGATTCTTCCCAACCATGAGGATGGAATGTATTTCTGTTTGTTTGTGTCCTCTCTTATTTTCTTGAGCAGTGGTTTGTAGTTCTCCTAAAGAGGTCCTTCACATTCCCTGTTAGCTGTATTCCCAGGTATTTTATTCTTTTTGTAGCAAGTGTGAATGGGAATTACTCATGATTTGGCTCTGTGCTTGTCTATTGTTGGTGTATAGGAATACTTGTGATTTTTGCACATTGATTTTGTATCCTGAGACTTTGCTGAAGTTCCTTTCAGCTTAAGGAGATTTGGGCTGAGACAATGTGGTTTTCTAGATATAGGATCATATTGTCTGCAAACAGAGACAATCTGACTTCCTCTCTTCCTAGTTGAATACCCTTTATTTCCTTCTCTTACCTGATTGCCTTGGCCAGAACTTCAAATACTATGTTGAAAAGGAGTGGTGAGAGAGGGCATCCTCATCTTATGCCAGTTTTTAAGGAGAATGCTTCCAGCTTTTTCCCACTCAGTATGATATTAGCTGCAGGTATGCCATAAATGGCTCTTATTATTTTGAGATATGTTCCATCAATACCTAGTTTATTGAGGGTTTTTAACATGAGGGATGTTGAATTTTATCGAAGGCCTTTTCTGTGTTTATTGAAATAATAATATAGTTTTTTCATTAGTTCTGATTATGTGATGAATTACACTTAATGTTTTGCGTATGTTGAACCAGCCCTGAATCCCAGGGATGAAGCCGACATGACCGTTGTGGATAAGCTTTTTGATGTGCTGGTTTTGGTTTGCCAATATTTTATTGAGGATTTTTGCATCTATGTTCATCAGGGATATTGGCCTGAAGTTTTTTTGTTTTGTTTTGTCTCTGACAGGTTTTGGTATCAGGATGATGCTGGCCTCATAAAATTAGTTAAGGAGAAGCCCCACCTTTTCAGTTGTTTGGAATTGTTTTAGAAGAAATGGTAACAGCTCCTCTTTGTACCTCTAGTAGAATTTGTCTGTGAATTCATCTGATACTGGGCGTTTTTTGGTTGATAGGCTATTTATTACTGCCTCAATTTCAGAATTTGTTATTGGTCTATTCAAGGATTCGACTTCTTCCTACTGTAGTATGGTGTGGTGTATGTGTCCAGGAATTCATCCATTTCTTCTAGATTTTCTAGTTTATTTGCATAGAGGTGTTTATAGTATTATCTAATCATTGTTATATTTCTGTGGGTTCAATGGTGATATCCTTTTTATCACTTTTTATTGTGTCCACTTGATTCTTCTCTTTTTTCCTCTTTATTATGCTAGCTACATTAACTTTGCCCAGAAGTTAATGAAGTTTCTTCATAGTTTCAATAATTTTTTCAAAAACCCAGCTCCTGGATTCATCGATTTTGGAATAATTTTTCGCATCTCCATCTCCTTCAGTTCCAATCTGATCTTAGTTATTTCTTGTCTTCTGCTAGCTTTTGGATTTGTTTGCTCTTGCTTCTCTAGTTGCTTTATTTGTAATGTTAGGGTGTTGATTTGAGATCTTTCTAGCTTTCTGATGTGGGCACTTAGTGCTAGAAGTTTCCCTCTTAACACTGCTTTAGCTGCTTTCCAGAGCTTCTTGTACATTGTCTCTTTGTTTTCATTGGTTTCAATGAACTTCTTGATTTCTGCCTTAATTTCATTATTTACCCAGGAATCATACATGAGCAGGATGTTCAACTTCCATGTAGTGCGGTTTTTAATGAGTTTCCTAATCCTGAGTTCTAATTTGATTGCTCTGTGGTCTGAGAGACTGTTTAGTATGATTTCTGTTCTTTTGCATTTGCTGAGGAGTGTTTTACTTCCAATTATGTGATCGATTTTAGAGTAAGTTCTGTGTGGCACTGAGAAGAATGTCTATTCTGTTGTTTTGGGGTGGAGAGTTCTGTAGATACGTATCAGTTACACTAGATCCAGAGCTGAGCACAAGTCCTGACTATCCTTGTTAATTTTCTGTCTTGATGATCTGTCTAATGTTTACAGTGAGGTGTTAAAATCTCCCACTATTATTGTATGGGACTCTAAGTCTCTTCGTAGGTCTCTAAGAACTTGCTTTATGAATCTGGGTGCTCCTGTATTGGGTGCATATATATTTAGGATAGTTAATTCTTCTTATTAAATTCATCCCTTTACCGTTATGTAATGCCCCTCTTTGTCTTTTTACCTTTGTTGGCTTTAAAGTCTGTTTCGTCAGAGACTAGGATTGCAACCCCTGCTTTTTTCTGTTTACCATTTGCTTGGTAAATTTTCCTCCACCCCTTTATTTTTAGCCTAAGTGTGTCTTTCTGCATGAGATGTGTCTCTTGAATACAGCACACTGATGATTTGGGACACTATCCAATTTGCGGGTCTGTGCTTTTTAACTGGGGCATTTAGCCTATTTACATTTGAGGTTAACATTGTTATGTTATTAAATTCGATCCTGTCATCATGATGCTAGCTGGTTATTTTGCCCACAAATTAATGCGGTTTCTTCATTGTTTCATTGGTCTTTGTGCTTTAATGTGTTTTTAGAGTGGCTGGTACCAGTTTTACCTTTCCTTATTCAGTGCTTCCTTCAGGAGATCTTGCAAGGCAGGCCTGGTGGTAATGAATTCCCTCAGCATTTGCTTGTCTGAAAATGATTTTATTTCTCCTTCACTTATAAGGCTTAGTTTGGCCAGATATGAAATTCTGGGCTGAAAATTCTTTTCTTTAAGAATGTTGAACATTGGCCCCCACTCTCTTCTGGCTTGCAGTGTTTCTGCTGAGAGCTTCACTGTTAGTCTAATGGGCTTCCCTTTGTAGGTGACCTGGCCTTTATATCTGGCTGCCCTTAACATTTTGTTTTTCATTTCAACCTTAGAGAATCTGATGATTATGTGTCTTGGGGTTGATCTACTCATGGAGTATGTTATTGGGGTTCTCTGGATTCCTGAATTTAAAAGTTGGCCTGTCTTGCTAAGTTGGGGAATTTCTCCTGGATGATATCCTGAACTGTGTTTTTCAACTTGGTTCATTCTCCCTTTCTCTTTCAAGTACTCCAATCAGTCATAGGTTCAGTATTTTTTCATAGTCCCAAGGTTCTTGGGGGTTTTGTTTGTTCCTTTTAATTCTTTTTTCTCTAAACTTGTCTGCCTGCCTTATTTCAGCAAGACAGTCTTCAAGTTCTGATATTCTTTCTTCTGCTTGATCGATTCAGCTATTGATATTTGTGTTTGCATTATAAAGTTCTTGTGGTGTGTTTCTCAGCTCCATCAGGCCATTTATGTTCCTCTCTAAACTGGTTATTCTAGCTAGCAGCTCCTGTTACCTTTTATCATGGTTCTCAGCTTCTTTGCATTGGGTTAGAACATGCTCCTTTACCTCAGCAAAGTATGTTATTATCCACCTTTCTAAAGGCTACTTCTGTAATTCATCTATCTCATCCTCTGTCCAGTTCTGTGCCCTTGCTGAAGAGGTGTTGTGATCATTTCGAGGAGAAGAAGCACTCTGTCCTTTTGAATTTTTGCGGTTTTTTGTTAATTCTTTCTCATCTTCGTGAGTTTGTCTAGTGTCAATCTTTCAGGCTGCTGACCTTTGGATGAGGTTTTTGTAGGAACTTTTTTGTTGATGCTGTTATTGTTGCTTTCTGTTTGTTTGTTTTCCTTTGAATAGTCAGGTCACTCTTCTGTAGGGCTGCTGTGGTTTGCTGAGGGTTCACTTAAGGCTCTATTCATCTGGGTCCCTCCTGCACATGGAGATGTCACCTGAGGAGGCTGAAGAACAGCAAAGATGGGTGCCTGCTCTTTCCTCTGGGATCTCTGACCTCGAGGGGCACCAACCTAATGTCAGTAGGAACACTCCTGTATATGGTGTCTGCTGACCCCTGTTGGGGGCTGCTGCACAACTGGGGTGGGCGCAGGAACCAAGACCCATTTAACGAAGCCCTTTGGCTGTCGCTTGGTTGAGGGGGTGTACTGCACTTGGGGCAAACCCACTCATCTGGGCTGCTAGATTCCTCAGAGCTAGCAGGAAGGAAGACGTAGTCTGCAGGTCCACAGAGACCATGGCCACCCCTTCCCCTAGGGATTCAGACTGAAGGAAATCAGAGTTCTGTCCCTAAGCCCCCGGCTGGAGTTGCTGGAGTTCCTGCAGGGAGGCCTCACCCAGAGAGCAGGGATGGGTCAGGATCTGGCCTACGAAGGCAGCCTGGCCATGATCTGCCACAGCTGGTATGCTGCGCTGTGGGGAATATCTCCTGGAACCAAGTAGTCCAGTCTCCCTGGCACCAGCAGGAAAAAAACAGCTGCCTGGAGCTATAGCGATGGCTGCTGCCCAGCACCCCCAAGAGTCCGGTGTCTTAAGCTGCCAGCAGCCACAGTGATAGCTGTCATCCCTCCCCTGGGAAGCTGAGCTGTCTTAGGCAGCCGGCAGCTGCAGTGATAATGGCTATCCCTCCCTCGGGGAGCTCAGTTGTCTTAGGCAGTCAGTAGCCACAGTGACTAAGTCAGAAGGCTTAGACAGCAGGCAGCCACAGTGACGATGGCCACCCACCCCTGCAGGAACTCTTAGCCAGATTCCAGCCAATTGACTGTTGAGAATCTGAACAGCTCTGTGGTTGTGACCTAAGGCCCTGGTGGTGTGGGCTCACAAGTGGGATCTTCTGATCTGTGGGTTGCACAGATCTGTGGAAAAAGCAGAGCTTCCCAGGCTGGATGGCACGCTCACTCACTGCCTCCCTTGGCTGGTGCTGGAGGTGCCCCTTACCCCATGTGGCTCTCAGGTGGGCCGACACACCACCCTGCTTTTCATTGCTCTCCATTGGTCATGCGAACCACCTGGTCAGTCCTGATGAGAGAACCTGGATACCTTGGTTGCCAGTATAGGATTCACATGCTGTTTTGGTTCTTCTCAGTGGGAGCCTCTGACCACCACTGCTTCTAGTAGGCCATCTTGGGTCTGCCCCTCCTTTTCAACTTTTTGATGTGGAAATTCAGTACTATGAATTTTCCTCTTAACACTGCCTTAGCTGTATCTCAGAGTTCTGGTATGTGTTATCTTTGTTCTCATTATGTTCAAATAACTTCTTGATTTCTGCCTTAATTTCATTATTTACCCAAAAGTCATTCAGAAGCATGTTGTTTAATTTCCATATAATTGCATGATTTTGAGTGATTTTTTTATAGTCTTGACATCTATTTTTGTCACACTGTGGTCCAAGGATGCGTTTGGTATGATTTCAGTTCTCTTACATTTGTTGAAGATTGTTTTATGTCCAATGATGTGGTCAATTTCAGAGTATGTGCCATGTGGCAATAAGAGGAGTATATATTCTCTTGTTTGGGGGTGGAGAGTTCTGAAAAGGTCTATCAGATCCATGGTCCAATGTTGCATTTAACTCCTGAATATCTTTGTTAATTTTCTGACTCAATGATCTGTCTAATACCGTCAGTGGGGTGTTGAAGTCTTATTGTGTGGGAGTCTGTGTCTCTTTGTAGGTCTCTAAGAATGTGCTTTATAAATCTGAGTTCTCTTTGTTGGGTGCATATATATTTAGAATAGCTAGGTCTTCTTGTTGAATTGAAACCTTTACCATTATGTAATGCCCTTCTTTGTCATTTCTGATCTTTGCTGGTGTGAAATCTGTTTTGTCTGAAATTAAGATTGCAACCCCTGCTTTTTTTCTGTTTTCCATTTGCTTGACAGATTTTCCTCCATCCCTTTATTTTGAGCCTATGAGAGTCATTACATGTAAGATGGGTCACTTGAAAACAGCATACAATTGGGTCTTGCTTTTTTATCCAGCTTGTCTTTCTGTGCCTTTTAACTGGGACATTTAGTCCATTTACATTCAAAGTTAGTATTGATATGAATGGATTTGATCCTGGCATTGTGCTGTTAGCTGGTTATTATGTTGGCTTGTTCATGTGGTTATTTTACAGTCACACTGGTCCTGTGTGTTTAAATGTGTTTCATATTAGCTGGTAGTGGTGTTTCCTTTCTATACATGGAGCTTCTTTCAAGATCTCTTGTAAGGCAGGTCTGGTGGTAATGAACTCCCTCAACATCTACCTATCTGAAAAGGACCTTATTTCTCCTTCACTTAGGAATCTTAACTTAGCTGGATATAAAATTCTTGGTTGAAGATTTTTTCTTTAAGAAAGTTGAATATAGGCCCCCAGTCTCTTGGTTTATAGGGTTTCAGCTGAGAGTCGGCTGTTAGCCTCATAGAGATCCCTTTGTAGGTAACCTGCTCTTTCTCTCTAGGTGACTTTAACATTCTTTCTTTCATTTCAACCTTGGAAAATCTGAGGTTTCTGTGTCTCAGGGATGATCTTCTTGTGTAGCATCTTGCAGAAGTTATCTGTATTTTCTGAATTTGACTGTTGGCCTCTCTAGCAAAATTGGGAAAGTAGTCATGGATTATATCCTTAAATATGTTTTCCAAGTTGTTTGCTTTTTTCCCTTCCCTTTCAGGGATGCCAGTGATTCACAGACTTGGCCTCTTAAAATAATCCCATACTTCTTGGAGGTTTTGTTCATTCCTTTTTGTTCTTTTTTCTCTGGTTTTGTCTGACTGTCTTATTTCAGAGAACCAGTCTCCAAATTCTAAGATTCTTTACACAGCTTGGTTTCTTCTGCTATTAATACTTGCAATTCCATTGTGAAATTCTTGTATTGTGTTATTCAGCTCTGTTAGACCTGTTAGGTTCTTTTTTATACCAGCTATTTCATCCTTCAGCTCCTGTATCACTTTATTGTGATTTTAAAATAAACCAATTTTAAAGCAGGATTTATATTATCATTATTATTCCCTACAGAGCCAAGTAGTGTGGCCATACACAAGTAACAAATTTTATGTCATCAAACTCCTGCCTCTTGAAGAATATGTCATACATGAGCTAAAATGACTTCTTCATTAATTATTTTCACTTTACTTTGTCTAGGAAATGCTCGGTTCATATTCATCTTTGTCTTTATGTCACCATTCTTTTGTTTCCTTTTTTTATTTCACTGGAGCAACTCCACATATGAAGACATAGAGTTACTAAACTTTATGAACTATTGCATGTCAGAAAATTATTTTCTTGATTCATTTAATTGAAACTTTAGGTAGAGGGAGAACTCTATATCCAAAATCATTTCCCCTGAGAA
The DNA here is from genome assembly GCF_000001405.40 of Homo sapiens. NCBI lineage: Eukaryota > Metazoa > Chordata > Mammalia > Primates > Hominidae > Homo > Homo sapiens. Next base: position 97,941,106 of record NC_000004.12, read on the forward strand.
ATTTAAGAAAATATTACTTCACCATCTCCTAGCCTTGAAATGCGGCTAATGTTGCTAAGCTAGTACCTGACATAAGTTATATTTCTCATCCCTTTGTGGGTTACCCAGCGACTTTACTCTGTGGAAGCTTCAAGGATATTTGCTTTAGTTAGGATCTTCTGAAAATGAAAAAAAAAGTGAAAAGGACATAGGTATTTTTATATTTATCCTCCTTGGCATTCTGTTAAGCTCCTCAAATCAGTAACTTATGTTTTTATTCAGCTTGAAACAACTTTCTGTTTTCTATATCAAATAATTATTGTCTCAACATTCTGCTTCTAGAATGCTCAGTAAACAGATGTTTTGTTTATGTTCATCCTCCATTTGTCACATTTTCTTTCTATTTATAATCATCTAATGCTTATGTCATGGTTTTTTTAAAAGAATAAAAAATATTTCCCTGGGATGTTGTAAAAGAAATAAGTCTTTGATATGAAACCAGAAGTCTGGAAGGGAGCTATATTTTTTATGCAAAGATACAACTGGGAAAATTAAGCTATCAAATCATCTTTTAAGACTGCAGCATATCCATAAGTAAAATACCTGGGAGGTAAATTTTATTTTTATTTAAAGTAAATAATAAAATTAATTCCATTACTTTATACATTTGAGATATTATTTCAATTTTATTTTGAGATCAATAATTTGGATTTTTCATTACATACACATTATACACCCACCTGTTTGAAGTGTATTGTCATTTGCAAAAGAGATTTAAAAACCAAGCTTTCTATGTGACTAAACTATTCTGCTTCTTGGGTAACCAGAGTCCCACTGAATAATTTTAATTGCAAATGTTTCATGTCAGAAAAGAGAACACTAAAAAGAAGTTTTCAGATCTAAAGAGGGACAAAGTTAAAAGAAAAATATGTAAATTAAGTCAAAAATATTGGTGAAGCAACTTGTCTTCCTTTAGAGCAGATGTGCACCATCTTTTTTCACTACAAAGTTTAACATATATATGTATAGATACGTTTTAAATATATATATGTGTGTATATATATATATATTTAAAACGTATCTATACATATATATACACATACTGCCTTCCTATGGATGCTTTCAGAAATTTCCATTGTTTTTTCCTACTACCTGTGATATTATGATAGAAATAACTTTGAATCCATTCAATGACTCCTAAGCATAAAAGCATTATATTAGTAATAAATTAGTCATGGCATACTTCACAATGGATCCTGAGGTGTGTACAACAATGACTCACTTGAAAAATACAGTTGAACTCTAAAATTCCTCAAGATGAAGAAATAATCCATTAAAACAGCACTATTAGTTAAAAATTACTCAGAATCTACTACATGTAAAGAATATTGCTAGATGATTTTAAACTGTCTTTTGAATTTATAATTACAAAAATCTCATAGAATAGAACCTGATGCTGATTTTGACTACATCTCAGATTCCAATAATGCCTCAGAAAAAAAAATAATAAGTCCACTCCTGAATAGCTTTCACCAAATTAATCTAATTGCTATTATTTCCAAGACATTCAGAGTTATATTAACTAGCATTGCATTTGTCATTCCCTTAAATTAGTTCATCATGATCTTGTACCAGTTATTTTACAATCAAAAATATTACAAATCAACTGTTGGCATTATCTCACGTAGCAGAATTTTATTTCAGCAAGTTATACTCTGTTTTCATTGATTAGCTACATTTTAAACCTTGTTTAATAATCCTGTTTTGAAATTTGTTATTAACAATATCTTCTCAAGATAGTCCAATTTCTACAAAAATGTATTTTAATAACACCTTGTTCACAAAAGGCTACACTGTAACATTTGTCTTTCTCTGTTTGGAGTGCTATAACAAAATACCATAAACTGGGTAGCTTGTAAATGAAATTTATTTCTCACAGGTCTGCAGGCTGGAAAGTTCAACACCAAGGCACAAGCAGACTCAGTATCTGGAGAGGCCCTGCTTCCTCATAGACAGTATCTTCTCTGAGTCCTCATGGTAAAAGGGGCAAACGAGCCTGCCTGGGCCTATTTTATAAGAGTACTAATCCTATTTATGAGGTCTCCACCCTCATGACATAATCACCTCCCAGAAAGTGCCACCTCCTAATACCATCACCTTGGGAGTTAGGATTTCAACATATGAATTTTAAGAGGATACAAACATTTAGACTCTAGCAACATTATCACTGGGTCCAACTTTTTAACTCTAAATTTTACTTTGATATATTTGTAAATTCAATCTGAATTGCTCAACTACTAATTTTTTAATTTAATCTGCTTCACTGTTTTCAATTTACTCACTACTAGGTATTTATTTTAAAAAATGGAAATTCAGAAAAATTTATAGCCATACCATTTAACATACAGGTCAACAGGAGTAAAAATAAATCACTCGGGAGTCTTAGATTTCAAGACGAATTCCATTGAAAAGAGAAAACATTTGCACTATGAGTAAAATGAGTTGAACCTAGTAAATCTTTTGCTCCATATACAACACAGCAAGTTCAGCTTTCATATATGTCCTAAGAATGAATGTTCTCTGACCCTACAAGGGATGTTGCATGTAATAATCTCTCATATAGCAATTCTGGACTTTGGCATAGCTTGAAGAATTTTGTTGAACTTTAAAAATATAAAAGTATCGGTCTAGCCAAGGAGGTTACAGCACGCTACCAGTTACCTCACTCAGGTCCTAATATAATGTTTATGTTATGCAGCCTCCTCCATGATTTCTAGATAATGAAAATATTTGATTGTAGGAGTATTCTTACCATATCTGGTACTTTCATAGTTCTTTTGGCTCTTGACAAGAAAGCAGCATATTTGTTAGTCAAGTTAGGTAATTCATCAGAAATTCCCACACCCTGTGAATGCCAAAATTCCTGTTGAAAGAAGGGGTTAAAAAGAGTACATCATTTATTTTTATCAATACAAGAGGCACTATAAATAATAAGTTTGCAATGAAGTTCATCAGTATTATCTGGCATTAAATAAAGACACATATTCATAAACAAATAAAATTTTCAAAATATGACACAGAAAGAAAAAGCTGTAAGTCAATGAGATATTAAAATGGAAAAAGAATTGATTATATGAACCTCTAGGTAAGTATAATGGATCTGCACACATTACTTAAACATATTAGCTATGTTCTATTTCATAACCAGCAAGTTCTGTCTCAATAATATATTAGTATAAGATACTTAGCCAATTATATAGTATTATTTAACAATTTATTATTAATAAAAATATATTTACATTTAACCATTTAATTTTGTGGCAATTCTGGGTTAATATATTTTCTAAGCAAAATGATCCACTCACTCTCTTAAATATCATAATTCTTTATATGCATTGAAGATTTAAATTAATAGGCTAGAGGAATCTAGTAATGTAATATTTCAATGAGCAATTAATCCTTGTGATACTTTCTATTTTGTCATACAATTTATTTGTATTCATTTAATTAAATAGAATAAACAGCAGCAACATCCTTTGTATATGCAAAAGGGGTAAGAATCTATTTTCCCATTTTTTTACACATTTTACTGTTTTTGTTTCAGAATTTGATATTCATAGTTAATATTTCAGAATTTGACACATAGTAGCTAATAGACATATTTCTTTCTTGGCCCATTTTTTGGTAACATTAATTTACTAAAACATCCATTACCCACCTAATGTATCTGTGACATGATCTGCCTCTACCCAAAATGCTGAAGATGGCACTTCTCCACTTTTTTCCACATGATATTATTCCAACCTATCCACTCCAGATAATATAGGTAGCTTCTATCACTTTCAAAAATAGAACAATCACAGTCACATCTTTTAAAAATGTGAAAGCCTTTGAATATAGAACATCTAAGCCAGCATTATTATTTTTGTGTAGTTTTTAAATTGTTTGAAGCTGAAAAATAACTTATTTTTATAATAATTTTTATTTCGATAGCTTTTGGGGTACAAGTGGTTTTTCCTTACATGGATGTATAGTACAGTGGTGAATTCTTAGATTTTAGTGCACCCATCACCCACGTAGTGTACATTGTACCCAATAAGTAGTTTTTTATCCCCCTATTCTCCTCCCACCCTCCCCTTTCTAAGTCTCCAAAGTCCATTATATCACTCTGTGTGTCTTTGCGTACCCATGGCTTAGCTCTCACTTATCAGTGAAACCATACAGTATTTGGTTTTTCATTCCTGAGCTAGTTCACTTAGAATAATGGCCTCCAGCTCCATCCAAGTTGCTGCAGAAGATATTATGTTATTCTTTTTTATGGCTGAGTAGTATTCCATGGTGTATATATACCACATTTTTTCTATCCACTCATTGGTCAATGGGCACTAAGATTGGTTCCTTATCTTTGCAATTGTGAATTTGGCTACAATAAACATACACATGCAGGTGTCTTTTTAATGTATTGACTTATTTTCCATTGGGTAAATACCCAGTAGTGGGATTACTAGATCAAATCGTAGATCTATTTTTAGTTATCTAAGAAATCTCCACACTGTTTTCCACAGAGATTGTACTAACTTACACTCCTACCATTAATTTATAAGCATTCTCTTTTCAAGACCCCAACATCTATTGTTTTTTTGGGTTTGTTTATTGGTTTTTGTTCGTTACTTTTTAACACTGGCCATTCTTGGATGGGTACAGTGGCTCACACCTGTAATCCCACCACTTTGGGAGGCCAAATTAGGCAGATCACTTGAGCCCAAGAGTTCATGATCAGCCTGAGCAATATGGTGAAACCCTATCTCTACAAAAAACACAAAAATTAGCTGAGTGTGGTGGCATATACCTGTGGTCCCTGCTATTGGAGAGGCTGAGGTAAGAGGATCCCTGGAGCCTGGGAGATCAAGGCTGCAGTGAGCCATAATCACACTACTGCACTCCAGCCTGGGTAAGGCAGTGAGACCCTGTCTCAAAAAAATAATAATAGAAATAAAGGCCATTCTTGCAGGAGTGAGGTGGTATCTCATTGCGGTTTTAATTTGCATTTCCCTGATGACTAGTGATGTTGAATATTTTTTCATATATTTGCTGGCCATTTGTATATCTTCTTTTAATAAATATCTATTCATGTCAGTTGCCCACTTTTTCATGAAACTGTTTTATTTTCTTGCTGGTTTGTTTGAGTTCCTTGTAGATTCTGCATATTAGTCCTTTGCCCAATGCATAGTTTGCAATATTTTCTCCCATTCTGTGGGTTGTCTGTTTACTCTGGTGGTTATTTCTTTTGCTATACAGAAGCTCTGTAGTTTAATTAGGTCTAATTTGTTTATTTTTGTTTTAGTTCCATTTGCTTTGGGAGACTTAGTCATGAATTCTTTGCCTAAGCCAATGTCCAGAAGAGTTTTTCTTACGTTATCTTCTAGAATTTTTATGGTTTCAGGTATTAGATTTGTCTTTAATCCATCTTGAGTTGCTTTTTATATAAAATGAGATGTAGGGATTCAGTTTCATTCTTCTAAATGTAGCTATTCAGTTTTCCCAGGACCATTTATTGAATAGGGTGTCCATTCCCCAATTTATGCTGTTCTATGCTTTGTCAAAGATCAGTTGGTTGTAAATATTTGGCTTTATTTCTGCATTCTCTATTCTGATCCATTGATCTATATGTCTACTTTTATATAAGTACTGTGTATTTTGGTAACTACAGCCTTGTAGTACAATCTGAAGTCCAGTAATGTGCTGCCTCCAGATTTGTTCTTTTAGCTTTGTATTGCTTTGGCTAAGCAGGCTCTTTTTTGATTCCATATGAATTGTAGGATTGTTTCTTTTAATTCTGTGAAAAATGATGCTGGTATTTTGATAGGAATTGCATTGAATCTGTCGATTGCTTTGGGCAGTATGGTCATTTTCATAATATTGATTCTTGCAATCCGTGAGAATGGGATGTGTTTCCATTTGTTTGTGTCACCTATGATTTCTTTCGGCAGTGTTTTGTAGTTCTCCTTGTAGAGATCTTTCACCTTGGTTAGTATATTCCAGGATATTTTATCTTTTTTGCAGCTAAAGGAGATTGAGTTTATTTCATTCTCAGTTTGGTCATTGTTGGTGTATATCAGTGTTACTGATTTGCGTACATTGATTTTGTAACCTGAGACATTACTGAATTTGATTATCAAATCTAATCTTATCTCTAGGCTTATCCAGTCAACACTTTTGAGAAATCTCTAGGGTTTTCTATGATATATAATCATATCATTGGTGAACAGCAATAGTTTTACTTCCTTTTTTGCAATCTAAATGCACTGTATTTCCTTCTGTTGCCTGATTGGTCTGGCTAGGACTTCTGGTATTTTGCTGAATGGAAAGTGGTGAAAGTGGGGATCTTCATCTTGTTCCAGTTCTCAGTGGGAATGATTTCAACTTTTCCTCATTCAATATAATGTTGGCTGTGGGTTTGTCATAGATGGTGTCTATTAATTTGAACTAAGTCCCTTTTATACCTAGTTTATTGAGGGTTTTTAATCATAAAAAGATGCTAGATTTTATCAAATGCTTTTCTGCAGCTATTGAGATAACCATATGGTTTTTGTTTTTAATTGTTTATGTGATGAATCATATTTACTGACATGCTTATGTTAAACCATCCCTGCATCCCTTGAATGAAGCCCACTTGTTCATGATGTATTATCTTTCTGATGTGCTGATAGATTCAGCTATCTAGTATTTTGTTGAGAGTTTTTGCATCTACATTCATCAGGGATATTGGTCTGTAGTTTTCTTTTTTTGTTATGTTCTTTCCTGGTTCTGGTATCAGGGTAACACTGGCTTAACAGAATGAGTTAGGGAGGATTCCTTCTTTCTCAATCTTTTGTAATAGTTTCACCAGTAGGATTGGTACCAATTCTTTGAATGCCTGGTAGAATTCAGCTGTGAACCCATCTGATCCTGGGCTTTTTTCTTTGTTGTCAATTTTTAATTACTGATTTAATATTGCTGCTTGTTATTGGTCTGGTCTGGGTTGCTATTTCTTCCCAATTTAATCTAAAAAAGTTGTAGGTTTCCAGGAATTTATCCATTTCCTCTAGATTTCCTAGGTTGTGTGCATAGTTTGTGTTTCTAGTTTGTGTTCATGGCTATCTCAAATGATCTTTTGTGTTTCTGTGGTGTAGGTTGTAATGTCTCCAATTTTATTTCTAATTGACCTTATTTGAATCTCCTCTCTTCTTTTCTTGGTTAATCTAGCTAAAGTTATATCAATTTTATTTGCCTTTTCAAGGAACCAACTTTTTGTTTCATTGATATTTTGTATTGATTTTTTGTTCAAATACATGTAGTTCTACTCTAATCTTTGTTACTTCTTTTCTTCTAGATTTGGGCTTAGTTTGTTCTTGTTTCTCTTATTCTTTGAGGTGTTACATTAGGTTGTCAGTTTGTGGTCTTTCAGGCTCTGATGTAGGCATTTAGTGCTACAAACATTCCTCTTAGCACTGCATTTGCTGTATCCCAGAAGTTTTGATGACTCATGTCACTATTATTCATTTCAAAGAACTGTTTAATTTCCAACTTGATTTCATTTTTAACACAAAAATCATTCAGGAACAGATTGTTTAATTTCTATGTATAGGTATAGTTTTGAGGGTTTCTTCTGGAGTTGATTTCTATTTGTATTCTGCTGTGATCTGAGAAGATACTTGCTACAGTTTTTATTTTTTCACATTTATTGAGACTTGTTTTGTGGTGTGTCATATAGGTCTATCATGGAAAATGTTCCATGTGCTGATGAGAAGAATGTATATTCTGAAATTCTTAGGTAGAATGTTCTGTAAATATCTGTTAAGTCCATGTGTTCTAGAGTGTTTAAGACCATTGTTTCTTTGTTGAATTTCTGTCTCAGTCATCTGTATACTGCTGTCAATGGGGTGTTGAAGTCCCCCACTATAATTGTGTTGCTTTCTATCTCCTCTCTTAAGTCAAGTAGTAATTGTTTTAAAAATCTGAGAGCTCCAGGGATAAGTGCTTATACATTTAAAATTATAATATCTTCTCGTTGAATTGATCCTTTTATCATCATATAATGATCTTCTTTGTCATTTTTTACTGCTGTTGCTTTAAAGTTTGTTGTTGTTTTATCTAATATAAGAATAGCTACTCCTGGTCACTTTGGGTTTCCATTTGCATGGATTAACTTTTACCACCCTTTTACCTTGAGTTTATATAAATCCCTCAATGTTAGGTGAGTCTCTTGAAGACCAAAGATATCTAGTTTGTGATTTTTCTTATCTAATCTGCCAATCTGTATATTTTAAGTGGACCATTACGCCATTTACGTTCAACATAATATCAAGATACTGTTCCAATCAACATGTGAATTGTTACTTACTTTTTTTTCTTCATTGTATTATTGTTTTATAGGCCGTGTGAGTTTTATGCTTGCAAGAGGTTCTATTCTGGTGCATAATGGGCTTTTGTTTCAAGATTTAGACTCCTTTTAGCATTTCTTGTAGGGCTGGTCTGGTAGTAAAAAGTTTTCTCAGCACTTATTTGTCTGAAAATGACGTAGTTTTGCTGGATACAAAATTTTTGGCCGATGGTTATCCTATTTAAAGAGGCTAAAGATAGGACCCCAGTCCCTTCTGGTTTGTAAGTGTTCTGCTGAGAAGTCTGCTGTTAGTCTGAAAGGTTTTCCCTTACAGGTTACCTGATGCTTTTGCCTCATGGCTCTTAGAATTATTTCATTCACATTGACTTTAAATAGCTAGATGACTATATGCCTTTGTGTTTTGTTTTTTGTTTTTTGTTTTGTTTTTTGTTTTTGCAATGAATCTCACATGAGTTCTTTGACTTTCTTGTATTTGGATATCTAAATCACCAGCAAGGCCAGGGAAGTTTTCCTCAATTTCCTCAAAAAATTATTCTACTTATTTTAATCTATTGTTAAAACCTCCACTGCATTTTGTAGTTCCCTAAATGTGTCTTTCATTTCCAGAAGTTCTGATTTGTTTCTTTTTAAAATATTTATCTCTTTAGAAATTTTTTCATTCATATCCTGAAATTTTTTTAATTTCTTTATGTTAATTTTCACCTTTCTCTAGTATCTCAAATAAATTTTCCAAACATTATACTTTCTCTTATTCCTCAAAACACCAATTATTATTAGGTTTGGCCATTTTACATAATCTATTATTTCCTGGAAACTTTGTTCATTTCTGTTCTTTATTCTTTATTTTTCTCTGACTGGGTTAGCTTAAAAGCCTTGTCTTCAAGCACTGAAACTCTTTCTTCTACTTGTTCTAGCCTATTGTTAAAACCTCTACCACATTTTGTAATTCCCTAAATGTGTCTTTCATTTCCAGAAGTTCTGATTTTTTTCTCTTTAAAATATGTATCTCTTCATTCATATGCTGATTTTTTCAAAATTTCTTTATGTTGGTTTTCACCTTTTTCTGGTATCTCCTTGAATACCTTAGTAATTAATCTTTTGAATTCGTTTTCTGGTATTTCCAAGATTTCATCTTGGTTTGGATCTATTGCTAGAGAGCTAGTGAAACTGCCATTGCAAAATTATAACTGAGAAAATTATTTCAGTGAAAGACCAACTTCATCTTTCTTCTGACCTCCACGCTGTCCATGTTCATTGCTGGGCATAAGCTGAACTAACTTTGGGAAAACTTAGTTTATAGTTTAACTTTGAAACAAAGACAATAACAGCCCTTTTCCAAAACAAACACCCTTCCTGTTTGGAGACTAGATTGCCTTTGTAGGACTAACAAATTAGCCACAAGATTAGAAATTATGGTTTAGGAGTCATGCAGCTGGACTCCTCTCATGCTACCTCTACACAATTCTGACCCTCCCCAAATTGCTCCTGGGGACAATATCACTATTGTAAAACCTAAGGTCAGTGTTTGAGATATTTACAGACCCTGCACTTGATGAATCAGCTGGCACCATCCAGATCAACTAACTGGTTTATCTGGTCTTGTGGCCCCCACCCAGGGACTGACTCAGCACAAGAAGACAGCTTTGACTCCCTATGATTTCATCTCTGACCCAACCAATCAACACTCCTGACTCACTGTCCCCTACCCACCAAATTGTCCTTAAAATCCCCAATTTCCAAGTTTTGGGGGAGACTCATTTGAGTAATAATAAAACTCTGGTCTCTCATACAGACAGCTCTGCATTAATAACATTTTCTCTATTGCAGTTCCCCTGTCTTGATAAATTGGCTCTCTCCAGGCAGCAGGCAAGGAGAACCCATTGGGTGGTTACACTAGTGTGACCTTTGGGTGTATTGCAGAACCTTGTTTTGTCATATTATCAGAATTATTTTTCTGGTTCCTTCTCATTTGGGTATACTATTTCTTCTAATTATTCTTGAAATTATGTTTTATTTGACTGTGTTTTTTTTTATTTCTTTTTCCCCCCTTAAGACTGTGACTTTAAAGCTTATAGTTTAATGTAGCCTAATTCAGTAATTGGTGCATTCAGGAGTGAAGACCCTGTGTGAGAGCTTTAGTTATAGAGACTCTTTGCATGATAACCTTCTCAGATGCTTCTCGGTAGCAACATGCTCAGTGTGTGAGCAAGTTCACTATATCCTACGGAGTTGGAATAGCAGAGGTCTCTTGAAGCCTACTTCATTCCCCCATGATGTGTGCTTTTAATTAATTTATTTATTCACCAGTATTTTATTTACTGGGTTGAACAACTCAGGCTTCAGGCTAGTAGGATAGGCGTCCCAGGGAAGAAACTGGTTGTGATTAAAGCAGGTGGGTAAATGCAATATGTAATGGTAGGCAGAGGTCCCAGCCTTGACAGAGCTGGCTGGAGGTTGGGAGAAGCTCTCAGAGAAGTACACTGAGGTCTTATCAGGGGAAAGGGTGGGAGCTACCTCCGCCCCTGTGTCAGGGCAGCAGAAAAGCAATCCACATTCCAGACACACTCATGACCCATTGTTCCAGTATTCCTGCTATTCCATCAGACAGGCACCTATTTTCATCTTCAGGAATGTTGATGTTCCAAGTATAGAGGAGTTCTGACTCTACCTCTCAACCACACCTGAACCTGAAAGGTGCATCCTCCAGGATGCAGTCACCCTGAAATGTTTGAAAAAGGTTGTCTAGGTGCACCCATGCTGAACACCTGTAAGAGAAGACCCAGTTGTGTCTTGCAGTGGTGGATGGGAGGAAAAAGAATTCCCCTTCTCCAAGACCCTTCATGAGCACCAGAGCTGCCTGACTGTTGGGGTACAGCTGCAGACTTTCCCTGCTGAACCCAGTACTGCAACTGTGCCTCTGAAGAAAGAAACTTCCCAACAGCAAAAAGATCTGGGACTCAAGGCCTGCCAGCTGGATTCTTTTGTCCCATGGAGCGTCCCCTTAATGTGGCATACTTTCCTTTCGCCTAGGACCAGGAGTCCCTGAGAGCCAGGCCACTATGAATGCTGCTGTTCCTCTGGGTCTAGTAACCCAGTGGAGTTGCCACACTCCAGGTTGGTGCTGGGAAAGTCTGCAAGGGATCCACTGATGTAACAGTTCCTCAAGTCTCCCAGCATCAGGTACCAGCACCATCTCTGATGGGGATGGCAGGGGAGGGTCATAGACTCTATGAGATTCCTTCGTTATAAATAGCCTTAGTGTGTTGGTTTTCTCAAATGCTGGTGGTGGTAGTAATGAACTGGTCACATGGACAGACTCAGGACCTCTGGTTAGCCAGGTTGGTAGCCAGAATGATACAGACAATAGTGATAGCAGAGGTCATGCACAAGTTTTCTCCTTTCTGGGCACATTGTTGTTCTACTTGGAGATACTGTAATGCATTGTGTCAGTCAGCCTCCAGCCAGGAGGTGGTGCTTGCAAAAGAGTCTCAGTTGTGGTAGTAGTGGTGGGATTTGTACTTGCCTTATGTTACCCAGGGGAGATACTGTGGTTTCTCAGGTGACGGGCAGAGCTATAGAGCTCCCAAACATTTCTGTCCTTTGTGTTAAGCTATTAGGGCAAACGGAGGAGCAAAGCCAGGTGGGGGCTCCATCAGGTAGCTCCACGCTCTGACTCTACCCATGCAGGGCAGCAGTGGCCCCAGTGAGCATCAGAGGAATTCGTTGGCCACTAGAGTAATGTTCTATGGAGGAGCATATCTGCCTCTGATGTACAAATGAGTTTGTACAGGGAGTCAGGAGTAGCAGGTGGCAGTAAACCCCGTCCAGCTCCCATGCACTTGGCAAAGCAAAACTCACACCTGCTAGCAACAGCTGTCTAAGTTCTAGGCACTTAATGCTCAGAACTCAAAATGCCCCAGGCCATAAGCCTTCCCCACAGAGACTGCAACCACAGCTTTCAGGCCATGCTTCTCCCAGTCTGCCTGTAAAGCTAGGGTGTGCAGCTCCTGCACTTGTGGCTGCAGCACACTTCCCACCTTCTCCCTGCCTGAGTTAACTAGAAGATTTTTGTGAGATCCCCCCATGACACAGAATCAGGAATGGCTTCCCTTGGTTCACACTGGAGACCAAAAATGCCTGCAAGGCTCTTCCCACACTGCTCCTACTTTCATATTCCCCATTGCTCCTTAAATCAGTTCTAGCACTGGGTAGAGTTAAGGTGTTCCCCCATGGGCAGATTGCCAGGTTCCCCAGTTGGGGTGTGTATCCTGGAGGCATTCTCTCTGCCTTTCACACTCTGAGGAAGAAGTTTTTCACATGGCTCACAGTGTGGGCTGCCAGCCTGCCACTTCTTTCAAAGGGTCTGTGATTTATTTCAGTTTTCCTGTTAAGTTCCTGCATTGCTTCTCAGAAAAAAAGTTCACAGTGAGAATTGCTATACACTATTTTGTCTTTCCAAATAGAATAGGCATTGTAACACTTGCCTCCAATCTGCCATCTTGGAAAAAAGAAACTACAATAATTTTATTACTGTCATATATATGGTACTAGAAATTATTACGTTAAAAATTTCCAAAACATTTTGCAGTTTTTAGTACTTAGGAGGTAAAAGTTACCAACTTTGAATGAAATTACCAAGAAATTAATTACTTATTGGATGGCTTTGGCTCTAGAGGAAATGAGTAGTTTACAAAAGACCACATTTCTACATGAATAATTAAAAAGAAATTCAGGCAAAATGTAACAAGATCCTATTTTTAAAGACCTCATTGAGTTGTAGAAGTACCATAGACCAGAAGCCTACGATTCTGATGAGGGTAGACCTCTGAGAGGTGAGCTACTGGTGTGCAGGTGCACTCTCCCTCAGGGCATTTTCTGATAAAGGCAACAGAGTAAAAATTTGAGATTAGCCTGGCAGAGAAATGCTGCTAAGCAACTGTGTCTTCTTGGGCCAGAATGACAAAATTGCACATTTGAGGAGCCTCAAAGCACATGGCCTATTTCTTGATCAAGGTATTTGTAAGGAGTAAAGGCAGTGTGAAGCTAAAAATCTAAGCCAAAAAACTGAAATACAGAGGCATCAAAGAGTAAAGTTAAGAACCTGATAGAAGGACCCTCAAAAACATCAGGCTCATGTTTGATATCCCCATAGTACTACACTTAAGAAAATGAAACAACCAAGAGGTAAATTAAGTAATGGCAAAAATGTAATCAGCACAGTTCATAATTGGGTTAATGTAATTTTATCTTCACCTGTATCTACCTTGCAGAGGAAAGTGTGAAATTTCACTAGTAGAAAATAACATCATTTAGAATCTTTACAATGTTTTATATGCAGTATCTGGCAAGCTATTAAAAATTATAGGGCATGCCAAAAAACAGAAGGCATGGTCAAAAATCAAGAGAAAAAAAACATAAAATAACAGACTAATGGATGATCCAGATATTAGAGTTAGCAGACAAGAACTTTTTTAAAACTATGATTAATGTGTTCAATAAAACAGATGAAAAAATAGAAAAGAAATAGTTGAAATCGTAAATAATTTGTCCTGAGAAATGAATTATTTAAGAAAGAATTAAACAGGCATTCTAGAAATAAAAAAATACAATATCTGAAATTAAGAACTCAATAGATTGATTTAATGGTAGTTGAAATAGATGAAAAAAAGTAGTGAATTAAATTATAACTCAGTAGGAAATATCTAAACTGTAGCATGAAAGCAAAAAAAGTTGTAATACAGAAGAATTTTTTTTTTTTTTTTTTTGAGACAGCATCTCACTCTGTCGCCCAGGCTGGAGTGCAGTGGCACGATCTCGGCTCACGGCTTGCTCCACCTTATGGGTTCACGCCATTCTCCTGCCTCAGCCTCCTGAGCAGCTGAAACTACAGGTGTCTGCCACCATGCCTGGCTAATTTTTTTGTATTTTTAGTAGAGACGGGGTTTCACTGTGTTAGCCAAAATGGTCTCGATCTCCTGACCTCGTGATCCACCCATCTCGGCCTCCCAAAGGGCTGGGATTACAGGTGTGAGCCACCGCACCCGGCCTAATACAGAAGAATTCTAAGAGTGTTCGAGGCATGGTGAATAGTTCTAACACATATATTTATGAGAGTCTCAGAAAGACAGCAAGAAAAAATATGACAAAATACATAAAAGATAATAGCCAAGAATTATTTAAAACCGATAAAGGACATAAACCCACAGATTCAAAGGTTCTGCAAACCTCAGGCTAATGTATTAAAAAGAAAACAACACTTCAGACACATCAAAGGTTAAAAACCAAAGACAATATCTCTGGAAGGAGAAACAATAAGCTGGACAGCTTACTTCTCAATGGAAAAGATGGAAAGTCTAAAAAAACAAAATATTATTAAAGTGCTGAAAATAATCACCAGCCTAAAAATCTATACTCAAAAATAAATCATTCAAAAATAACAAAATACATTTCAGACAAACAAAAACTGTAATAATTCAGCAGCAGACCTGGACCAGAAGAAATGCTAAAGGAAGTTTTTCAGACAGAAGAAAAACGATTCCATTTTTCATAAAAATGCAAATGCAAAAAGGAATGAAGCACAATAGAGAAATAAATAAAAAAAGTAATCCACACAACAAAATAATAATATTCAAAAAACTTAAAATATGTAGATTTAAAATGTTTGACAATAATTAAACAAAATACAAGATAACAAAATGGAGTTAAAATGTTCTGAGTCAGTCTTATTGAGAAAGTGGTAAAGGTCATCCTTCTTATTGGATTGCAATACATGAATGCTTATTGTAATTTTCATGGCAAAAACTAAAAGAATAGTAAAAAAACTAAAAATGTAATATTGATGAAATGAAATAAAATAAAATATTTGATTAATATTTTATTTGATTATAATATTTGATTAATCCACACAGAAAGAGATAAGAAAAAGTGGATAATGGGAATCATGGCAGACAGGAGGCAGAACTAGATGGCATCCCACTTGGAAGGACAGAGCAGTGTGTGGAGTCTCAGACCATGAACTTTTGCTCCAGACCTACCACAGAAATAAATCAAGAAAGCTGAGAGAACACACAGACCCACTGAAAAAAGCAGATTGCTCCTGCAGGAGCCAGGAGACACCCCAAATATTGTGCTGGTATCCATGGCTGAGAGATCCACATATGGTTCACATCACAGAACTCTGCGCAGACAACCCCCAGTAGCAGCCCAGAGCCTAATAGACCTGATGGGTGGCTGGATCCAGAAGAGACATAACAATTACTACAGCTTGGCTCACAGAAAGCCACACCCCTAGGAAAAGGGGGAGAATAATACAGCAAGGGGACACCCCATGGGACAAATTAATCTTGTTTCCCTTGAAAACAGCCTTGAGTCCTACACCTTTCCTCTGACAGAGCCTACCCAAATGAGAAGGAACCAAAATCCCAACTCTGGTAATAAGACAAAATAAGGTTCATTAACATCCTCAAAAAATCACATTAGCTCACCAGCAATGGATCCAAACCAAGAAGAAATCCCTGATTTGCCTGAAAAAGAATTCAGAGGAAAGTTATTAAGCTAATCAAAAAGGCGTCAGAGAAAGTCAGAGCCCAATTTAAGGAAATAAATATATATATATGTGAAATATACATAGGTGAAATATACATGTGAAATATACATGTGAAATATATATGAAATATACATGTGAAATATATATGAAATATATATGTGAAATATATATATGAAATGAAGGAAGAAATATTCAATGAAATAAACAGTATAAATAAAAAACAATCAAAACTTCAGTAAACAATGGACACACTAATAGAAATGCAAAATGCTCTGGAAAGTCTCAGCAATAGAATGTAACAAGCAGAAGAAGGAACTTGAAGCTTGAAGACAATGTTTTTTAATTCACCCAATCAAACAAAGACAAAGAAAAAAAATAAGAAAATATGAACAAAGCTTCCAAGAAGTCTAGGATTATGTTAAACGACCAAACCTAAGAATAATTGAGAAAGAAGGGAAATCTAGAAGTTTGGAAAACATACTTGGGGAAGTAAGTGAGGAAAACGTTCCCAGCCTTGCTAAAGACCTAGACATCCAAATACAAGAAGCTGAAAAAACACCTGGGAAATTCATCACAAAAGATCACTGCCTAGGGAAAATGTTATCAGGTTATCTAAAGTTAAGAGGAAAAAAACAATCTTAAGAGCTGTGAGGCAGAAGCACCAGGTAACCTATAAAGGAAAACCTATCAGATTAAAAGCAGATTTCTCAGCAGAAACCCTACAAGCTAGAAGAGATTGGGGCCTTATCTTCAGCCTCCTTAAACAAAACAACTATAAGCCAAAACTTTTGTATCCAGTGAAACTGAGCTTCAGGAATGAAGGAAACATACAACCTTTTCAGACAAACAAATGCTGAGAGAATTTGCCACTACCAGGCCAGTACTACAAGAACTGCTAAAAGGAGCCCTAAATTTTAAAACAAATCCCAGAAGCACATCAAAACAGAACCTCTTTAGACCATAAATCTCACAGGACCTACAAAACAAAAATACAACTAAAAACAAAAAACAATGGCCCAGTGCAGTAGCTCACACTGGTAATCCCAGTACTTTGGGAGGCAGAGGGGGGACAGATCACTTGAGGTCAGGAGTTTGAGCCTAGCCTGGCCAACATGGTAAAACCCTGTCTCTACTAAAAATACAAAAATTAGCCAGGTGTGATGGTGAGTGCCTCTAATCCCAGCTACTTGAAAGGCTGAGGCACAAGAATTGCTTGAACCTGGGAGGTGGACATTGCAGTGAGCCAAGATTGAGCCACTGCACTCCAGCCTGAGTGAGAGAGTGAGGATGTGTCTCAAAAAAAAAGAAAAGTAAAGAAAAAAACCAAGGTATACAGGCAACAAATAGCATGATAAATGGAATAGTACCTCATATCTCAATACTAACATTGAATGTACATTGCCTAAATGCTCCATTTAAAAAATACAGAATTGCAGAAGGAATAAGAATTTACCAACTAGCAGTCTCTGCTCCATTCAGGAGACTCACCTGACACATAAGAACTCATATAAACTTAAGGTAAAGGGGTGGAAAAAGACACTCCATGCAAATGAACACCAAAAGCCAGGAGAAGTAGCTCTTCTTATATCAGACAAAACAAACTTTAAAGCAACAGCAGTTTAAAAAGACAAAGAAGGCCTTGTCCAACAGGAAAATATCACAATCCTAAATATATATGCATCTAATACTGGAGCTCCCAAATTTATAAAACAATTACTACTAGACGTAAGAAATGAGATAGACAGCAACACAATAACAGTGGGGGACTTCAGTACTTCACGCACAGCACTAGACAGGTCATCAAGACAGAAAGTCAACAAAGAAACAATGGATTTAAACTATGCCCTATGACAAATGGACTTAACAGATCTTTACAGAACATTTTACCCAACAATTGCAGACTATACATTCTATTCATCAGCACATGCAATGTTCTCCAAGATAGACCATATGATAGGCCATGAAACAAGCCTCAATAAATTTAAGAAAACTGAAATTATTACAAGCACTCTTTCAGACCACAGTAGAATAAAACACGAAATCAACTCTAAAAGGAACCTTCAAAATCATGCAAATAGAGGGAAATTAAATAATATGCTCCTGAATGATCACTGGGTCAACAATGAAATCAAGATGGAAATTAAAAGATTACTCAAACAGAACAATAGTAACACAATCTAACAATACCTTTGGGATACAGCAAAGGTAGTGCTAAGAGGAAAGTTCATAGCCCTAAATGCCTACACCAAAAAGTCTAAAAGAGCACAAACAGACAATCTAAGGTCACACCTCAAAGAACTAGAGAAACAAGAAAAAACCAAACTTAACCCCAGTAAAAGAAAGGAAATAACCAAGATCAGAGTAGAATAAATGAAATTGAAACTATACAAAAGATAAATGAAACAAAAAGAAAAAAGATAAATAAAATTGATAGGCCATTAGCAAGATTAACCAAGAAAAGAAGAGAGAAAATCCAAATAAGCTCAATTAGAAACAAAATGGGACATATTACAACTGACACCACAGAAATACAAAAGATCATTCAAGGCTACTATGAACATCTTTATACATAAAAACTAGAAAACCTAGAGGAGATGGATAAATTCCTGGAAAGATACAACCAACCTAGCTTAAATCAGGAAGAAGCAGATACCCTGAACAAACCAATAGTGATATTGAAATGGTAATAAAAACTTACCAAGAAAAAAAAAAGTCCAGGACCAGAAGGATTCAAAGCTGAATTCTACCAGACATTCAAAGAAGAATTGGTACCAATCCTTTTGACACTATTCAAAACGATAGAGAAAGAGGGAAACCTCTCTAAATCATTCTATAAAGCCAGTATCACCCTAATACCAAAACATGGAAAGGACATAACAAAAAAAGAAAACTACAAATGGATATCCCTGATGAACATAGATGTAAAAATCCTTAACAAAATACTAGCTCACTGAATCCAAAGACACATCAAAAAGATAATCTACCATGATCAAGTAGGTTTCACACCAGGGATGCAGGGAAGGTTTAATATATGCAAGTCAATAATTGTGATACATCACATAAACAGAATTAAAAAGAAAATTCACATGATCATCTCAATAGATGCAGAAAAAGCATTTGACAAAATCCAGCATCACTTTATGATTAAAATTCTCATCAAAATCAGCATAGAAGGGACAAATCTCAATGTAATAAAAGCCATCTATGACAAACCACAACCAACATAATACTGAATGGGGAAAAGTTGAAAGCATTCCCCCTCTGAGAACTGGAACAAGACAAAGATGCCTACTCTCACCACTTCTATTCAACATAGTACTGGAAGTACTAGCCAGAGCAATCAGACAACAGAAAGAAATAAAGGGCATGCAAATTGGTAAAGAGAAAATAAAACTGTCACTGTTTGCTGATGATATGATTGTATACCTAGAAAACCCTAAAGACTCCTCCAAAAAGCTCCTAGAACTGGTAAAAGAATTCAGCAAAGTTTCCAGATACAAAATTAATGTACACAAATCAGTAGCTCTTCTATATACCAACAGTGACAAGCTAAGAATCAAATCAAGAACTCAAACTTTTTACAATAGCTTCAAGAAAAATAAAATACTTAGGAATATACCTAACCAAGGAGGTGAAAGACCTCTACAAGGAAAACTACAAAACACTGCTGAAAGAAATCATAGACCACAAAAAACAAATAGAAACACATCCCATACTCATGGATGGGTAGAATCAATATTGTGAAAATGACCATATTGCCAAAAGCAATCTATAAATTCAATGCAATTCCCATCAAAATACCATCATCACCCTCACAGAACTAGAAAAAATATCCTAAAATTGATATAGAATCAAAGAAAAGCCCACATAGCCAAGGCAAGACCAAGCAAAAAGAACAAATGTGGAGGCATCACATTACCTGAATTCAAACTACACTACAAGGCCATAGTCACTAAAACAGCATGGTACTGGTATAAACATAGGTGCATAGATCAATGGAACAGAATAGAGAACTCGGAAATAAACCTAAATACTTACAGTCAACTGGTCTTCAACAAAGCAAACAAAAACATAAAATGGAAAAAAAAAAACACCCTATTCAACAAACGTGCTGGGAAAATTGGCGAGCCAAATGTAGGAGAATGAAACTGAATCCTCATTTCTCACCTTATACAGAAATCAACTCAAGATGGGTCAAGAACTTAAATCTAAGATCTGAAACTATAAAAATTCTAGAAGATAACACCAGCAAAAACCTTCTAGACATTGGCTTAGGCAAAGATTTCATGACCAAGGAGAACCCAAAAACAAATGCAAATGCAATAAAAGCAAAGATAAATAGCTGGGACTTAATTAAACTGAAGAGCTTTTGTATGGCAAAAGGAACAGTCAGCAGAGTAAACAGACAACCCATAGAGTGGGAGAAAATCATCATAATCTATACATCTGACAAAGGACTAATATCCAGAATCTACAACAAACTCAACCAAATTAGCAAGAAAACAAACAATCCCATCCAAAAGTGGGCTGAGGACATGAATAGACAATTCTCAAATGAAGATATACAAATAGCCAACAAACATATGAAAATGATGCTCAGCATCATTAATGATCAGGTAAATGCAAATCAAAACTACAATGTGATACCACCTTACTCCTGCAAGAATGGCCATAATCAAAAAATCAAAAAATAATAGATGTTAGTGTGGATGCAGTGAACAGGGAACACTTTTATACTGATGGTCAGAACGTAAACTAGTACAACCACTATGGAAAACATTATCGAGATTTCATTAAAAACTTAAAGTAGAACTACCATTTGATCCAGCAATCCCACTACTGGTTATCTACCCATAGGAAAAGTAGTCATTATATGAAAAAGATACTTGCACACGCACGTTTATAGCAGCATAATTCGCAATTGTAAAAATGTGGAACCAACCCAAATGCCCATCAATCAATGAGTGGATAAAGAAACTGTGGTACATGTCTACAATGAAATACTACTCAGCAATAAAAAGGAATGAATTAATGGCATTCACAGAAACCTGGTTGAGACTGGAGACTATTATTCTTAGCGAAGTAACTCAGGAATGGAAAACCAAACATCTTATGTTCTCATTCATATGTGAGACCTAAGCTACGAGGAAGCAAAGGCATAAGAATGACACAATGAACTTTGAAGACTCAGGGGGAATGGGTGGAAGGGAAAGAGGAATAAAGGACTACAAATTGGGTGCAGTGTATATTGCTGGGATGATGGATGCACCAAATCTCACAAATCACCACTAAAGAATTTATTCATGTGACCAAACACTACCTAGTCCCCAATAGCCTGTGGAAATTTAAAAAAAAATTAAGTGGCAAAACAAATGGACCAATACAATACATAAAATAGTGTAATACGTATACACACAAACATGTTGATAATCAAATTAAACATAAATCAATTGATACTGCAATTAAACACAAGGTTTACCAGACTGAATTTTTAAAAATCAGACATGTTTAGGGTTTATATTTCACTCTTGATTTTAGATTTTGTCAAATATTCTATAAACTGAGTCTTAGTTACACCTGTAGATAGTTTTAAATTGTCAACAAGAATAGCAAATTTACTGAGTCCTTACTGTGTTCCAGAAGATATTCAAAGTGTTTTTTGATTCACTTAGTATTGCAACAACACTTTTAGGTATGTACTATTATGATCTTCATTTTACTAAGTACAAAGAGTTTAAATAACTTGCACGAGATCAGTGGCAGAGCAAAAAAGTATATTCAAACACTCTGAGTCCAGAGATCATGCTAATAATCACTGTGCTAGGCTTCTCAATATCTACAGTGAAGAATAAATACTATAATTCTGGCTGGGTGTGGTGGCTCACGCCTATAATCCCAGCACTTTGGGAAGCTGAGGCAGGTGGATCATGAGGTCAGGAGTTCGAGATCAGCCTGACCAACATGGTGAAACCCCATCTCTACTAAAAATACAAAAATTAGCCAGGCATGGTGGCACACACCTGTAATCCCAGCTACTCAGGAGGCTGAGGAAGGAGAAATGCTTGAACCCGGGAGGCAGAGATTGCAGTGAGCAGACATCGCACCATTGTACTCCAGCCTGGGCAACAGAGCAACACTCCATCTCAAAAACAAACAAACAAACAAACAAACAAAAAAACAATAATTATTTTTATCTAAATGTCAGGTTACTAAGAATAATGAACTGTTAGTACATTTTAAACAAAATATAGCAGAAATGTTCCAAAAACTATTAACATTCATGATGGATTTAAAATATACTTATATCAGCACTTAAAATAGTTAATAAATTTAATATTATGTTTTTTACCACAAAAATATATACTGGGCGTGGTGGCTCACCCCTGTAACCCCACTGCTTTGGGAGGCAGAGGCAGGGGGACTCGTGCCAGGAGTTCAAGATCATCCTGGGCAGCAAAGTGAGACCTTGTCTCTATGAAAAATTTTTTTAAAATAGCCAGGTGTAACGGCCCATGCCTGTGGTCCCAGCTACACAGAAGACTGAAGCAGGAGGATCACTTGAACCCAGGAGGGCAAGGGTGCAGTGAGCCATACCTGCACCATTGCACTCCAGCCTGGGCAAGAGTGAGACCCTATTTGAAATACATATATATATAAATACATATATATGTATTTGAAATATATATACACACATATATATGTATTTGAAATATACATACACACATATATATTTATTTATACTTATATCGGACTAAATGAACAATAGAAATTAAAGACAAATATCAAAGGTTGATGACAGATAGAAACTCAAACTGAAAGTCTAGAAATCTAGCAATCTAAAAAAATTAATTTAGAGTACATGTAGGTATGTTAAACTTGTTCTTATATTTAATGTTCTTAAATTTAATGAAAAATAAATTAAATTGGCAGAAACTAGAGAGCTATTTTGAGGAGGCTATCAGATGCACCACTGGGACCTGTGGGAGCAAAATATAATAAAAGAAAAATGTCTGTAAGTTAATGATATGTGAATAGGAAGGACTATGATGGGTCTGAAATTTTGCCCTACTTCAAGTTACAAAGGTGACCTGCCACAGTTTCACAGAAAAATGCAAAACTCCTGAGTCAGAGACAAAGGACTTTATTCCTCATGGCATAACAAACAGCATGAGAACAGCACACTTGCATCAGTCCTCCTTGCCCTAAAGTCTTACTGGGGACAAGGCAGATGGGGCAAAATAAACACTAGCACACAAAATGGGAGAAAAACTGTGAGTTCTGGGAACGTGGATCTTTTATAATGAGCAGTAAGCACACCCTTTGCTGAGGAGGGAGACATTGTATCTTTGAAGGCAATCATCCTTAAAAAGGATGTACAATCATCCTTAAAAAGGAGGTGCAAGCAAAGGTGTGTAGAAACACAAAACACACAGAGAATTGTCTCTTAATGATAAAAAAAGAATAAAAATAGATGTTTGCACAGAATATAGACTTATTTGAGCACACTTACATAGAAAACCCTCAGAAAAATAAGTTTTAATGAACATTAAAAACCTGAAAAAACTAATATCTAAATTATAAGAATCCCACAAATATAATAAAATAAATAACAATTCATGTATCAGCAATTAAGGGCAACAGATTTCAAAGTAGTTATATAACAATTCTTACCTTTAAATTGTTACACATATTTTTTCTGGTTTGCTTTTCATTGTTCCTTCTGTTGTTGTCTTAAAATCACACTATACATCTTAAAACTGTACTACACAAAATTCAGTTATTACTTGTACTGAATTGAAATATGAATCTCTGCAGTTTTCACCTATTGGTCTTGACAGAATCCCATATGTAGTGCCATTCCAAGATGGCCGAATAGGAACAGCTCTGGTCTGCAGCTCCCAGTGTGATTGAGGCAGAAGGCAGGTGACTTCTGCATTTCCAACTGAGGCACCTGGTTCATCTCACTGGGACTTGTTGGACAGTGGGTGCAGCCCACAGAGGGCAAGCCGAAGTAGGACAGGGCATCACCTCACCCAGGAAGCGCAAGAGGTTGAGGGATTTCCCTTTCCTAGCCAAGGGAAGCCGTGACAGACTGTACCTGGAAAATTGTTTCACTCCAGCCCAAATACTGTGCTTTTCCCATAGTCTTAGCAACCGACAGACCAGGAGATTATCTCCTGTGCCTGGCTCGATGGGTCCCATGCCCACAGAGCCTTGCTCACTGCTAGTGCAGAAATCTGAGATCTACCTGCCAGGCTGCAGCCAGCCAGGGGGAGGGGTGTCTGCCATTGCTGAGGCTTGAGTAGGTAAACAAAGCAGCTGCGAAGCTCAAACTGGGCAGAGACCACTGCAGCTCAGCAAGGCCTACTGCCTCTATAGACTCCACTTTGGTGGGCAGGGCATAGTGAAACAAAAGGCAGCAGACAGCTTCTGCAGACTTAAATGTCCCTGTCTGACAACTCTGAAGAGAGCAGTGGTTCTCCCAGCATGGCATTTGAACTCTGAGAACAGACAGACTGCCTCCACAAATGGGGCCCTGACCCCCACGTAGACGAACTAGGAGACACTTCCCAGAACGGGCTAACAGACAGCTCATACAGGCTGGTGCCCCTCTGGGACGAAGCTTCCAGAAAAAGGATAAGGCAGCAATATTTGTTATTCTGCAACATTTGCTGTTCTGCAGTCTCCGCTGGTGATAACCTGGCAAACGGGGTCTGGAGTAGACCTCCAGCAAACTCCAACAGACCTGCAGCTGAGGGACCTGATTGTTAAAAGGAAAACTAACAAACAAAAAGGAATAGCATCAACATCAACAAAGAGGACATCTATGCCAAAACCCTATCTGTAGGTCACCAACATCAAAGACCAAAGGTAGATAAAACCACAAAGATGGGGAGAAACCAAAGCAGAAAAGCTGAAAATTCTAAAAACCAGAGTGCCTCTTCTCCTCTAAAGGATTGCAGATCCTCAACAGCAACAAAACAAAGCTGGGTGGAGAATGACTTTCACCAGTTGACAGAAGTAGGCTTCAGAAGATCAGTAAAAAGAATCAGTAATGAGCTTCTCCGAGCTAAAGGAGCATGTTTGAGCCCATCACAAGCAAGCTAGCTAAAAACCTTGAAAAAAGGTTAGACGAATGGCTAACTAGAATAAACAGTGTAGAGAAGACCTTACGTGACCTGACAGAGCTGAAAACCATGGCACAAGAACTTCATGATGCATGCACAAGCTTCAATAGCTGATTCAATCAAAAGGGTATCAGTGGTTGAAGAACAAATTAATGAAATAAAGTGAGAAGACAAGTTTAGAGAAAAAAGAGTAAAAGGAACCAACAAAACCTCTAAGAAATATGGGACTATGTGAAAAGAATAAATCTACCTTTGATTGTTGTACCAGAAAGTGATGAGGAGAATGGAACCAAGCTGGAAAACACTCTTCACAATATTATCCAGGAGAACTTCCTGAACTTAGCAAGGCAGGCCAACATTCAAATTCAGGAAATACAGAGAACACAACAAATATACTTCTTGAGAATAGCAACCCCAAGACACATAATTGTCAGATTCACCAAGGCTGAAATGAAGAAAAAATGTTAAGGGCAGCCAGAGAGAAAGGTCGGGTTACCCACAAAGAGAAGCCCATCAGACTAACAGCGGATCTCTCAGCAGAAACCCTACAAGCCAGAAGAGACTGGGGGACAATATTCAATATTCTGAAAAAGGATTTTCAACCCACAATTTCATATCCAGCCAAACTAAGCTTCATAAGTAAAAAAGAAATAAAATCCTTAACAGAAACGCAAAGGCTGAGAGATTACAAGAGCCTTATAAGAGCTCCTGAAGGAAGCACTAACCATGGAAACAAATAACCAGTACCAGACACTGCAATAACATGCCAAATTGTAAAGACCATCAATGCTAGGAAGAAACAGCATCAACTAATGGGCAAAATAACCAGCTAACATCATAATGACAGGATCAAATTCACACATAACCATAGTAACCTTAAATGTAAATGGGCTGAATGCCCCAATTAAAAGACACAGATGGGCAAATTGGATAAAGGGTCAAGACTACCAGTGTACTGTATTCAGGAGATCCATCTCACATGCAGAGACACACACAGGCTCAAAATAAAGGGATGGAGGAAGATTTACCAAGCAAATGGTAAGCAAAAAAAAAAAAAAAAAAGCAGTGATGGCAATCCTAGTCTCTGATAAAACAGACTTTAAACGAACAAAGTTCAAAAGAGACAAGGCCATTACATAATGGTAAAGGGATCAATTCAACAAAAAGAGCTAACTACCCTAAATATATATGCACCCAATACAGGAGCACCCAGATTCATAAAGCAAGTCCTTAGAGACCTACATTAGACTCCTACACAATAATAATGGGAGACTTGAACACCCCACTGTCAATAGTAGACATATCAATGAGACAGAAGGTTAACAAGGATATCCAGGACTTGAACTCAGCTCTGCACCAAGCAGACCTAATAGACATCTACAGAACTCTCCACCCCAAATCAACAGAATATACATTCTTCTCAGCACCACACTGCACCTATTCCAAAATTGACCACATAGTTGGAAGTAAAACACTCCTCAGCAAATGCAAAAGAACAGAAATCACAAAAAAACTGTCTCTCAGATCACAGTGCAATCAAATTAGAACTCAGGATTAAGAAACTCACTCAAAACCGCACAATTACATGGAAACTGAACAACCTGCTCCTGAATGACTACTGGGTACATAACAAAATGAAGGCAGAAATAAAGATGTTCTTTGAAACCAATGATAACAAAGACACAACATACCAGAATCTCTGGGACACATTTAAAGCAGGGTGTAGAGGGAAATTTATACTACTAAATGCCCACAAGAGAAAGCAGAAAAGATCTAAAATCAACACCCTAACATCACAATCAGAAGAACTAGAGAAGCAAGAGCAAACACATTCAAAAGCTAGCAGAAGGCAAGAAATAACTAAGATCAGAGCAGAACTGAAGGAGAGAGAGAAACAAAAAAACCTTCAAAAAATCAATGAATCCAGGAGCTGGTTTTTTGAAAAGATCAACAAAATTGAGACACCATTAGCAAGATTAATAAAGAAGAAAAGAGAGAAGACTCAAATAGATGCAATAAAAAATGATAAAAGGGATATCACCACCAACCCCACAGAAATACAAACTACCATCAGAGAATACTATAAACACCTCTACACGAATTTTGAATCACTGAATCGACCAATAACAGGTTCTGAAATTGAGGCAATAATTAATGGCCTACCAACCAAAAAATTTCCAGGACAAGATGGATTCACAGCCGAATTCTACCAGAGGTAAAAAGAGGAGATGGTACCATTCCTTCTGAAACTTCCAATCAATAGAAAAAGAGGGAATCCTTCCTAACTCATTTTATGAGGCCAGCATCATCCTGATACCAAAGCCTGGCAGAGACACAACAAAAAAAGAGAATTTTAGACCAATATCCCTGATGAACATCAATGTAAAAATCCTCAGTAAAATACTGGCAAACCAAATCCAGCAGCATATCAAAAAGCTTATCCACCAAGATCAAGTTGGCTTCATCCCTGAGATGCAAGGCTGGTTCAACATATGCAAATCAGTAAACATAATCCATCACATAAACAGAACCAATGACAAAAACCACATGATTATCTCATCAGATGAAGAAAAGGCCTTTGACAAAATTCAACAGCCTTCATGTGTAGGGAGACCCCCTGAAACTATTGCTATGGAATAAAAGATGAAATGCAACTGATTATTGTAAATACAAAATTGCATGCAGGATTGTGTAAAGACAATGCCAGGCTGGGCTGCCAGAATGAGCCAACAGCGCGTGATGTGCTTCCCCCTGCAGAGAGCCTATGAACGGATGTGCAGTCAGGGAGGTTTCACATCACCAAGATTCCTATCCCAAAAAAGCAAAGGTTCATAGCTCTGGGAATGGAATGCAACCCTTGTGGAGAGCCTATAAACAGACGCATGAAGGGCGCCTGTTCATATGGATAAGATAGGGCTATAAACACCCTCATCTTGCCACGGCTCTTCTAGGTCTTTTTAGGGTTAAGACATACTCCCTTCTGAGAATTTCTGGTCTAACCAGTTGTCTAGTTTCAGGTCCTGTATCTATGGATTGTTTGTAAACAGCTTTTGCTGCAACTGTTACTGCTGATTAATATCGTGCTAATCATAGGTTATGGAAAGACAGTGTTTCTGTTTTAAGGCTGTTAGGAATTGCTGATGCACACACTATGTCGTAAATTCTTATTTCTGTATGCTGTACTTCTGCACAGATGTTATGTCAAAGAATTACTTCATCCCCATGTGACCATCTCACCTCATAATCAAATGACCGTAAATCTCTCACTAACCTACCCCTGCCCTCACTAAACTTAATAACAAATGCTGGCATATCCAGTGCATTGGCAGCATCACAGGACCAAAAGGCAGTGACCCCCCTGGACCCAGCTTTCACTATTTTCTGTGTTTCTTTTATTTCTTGACCTGCCGATCCACCTGGGAACAAAGAGACAGCCCCGTTGCATTGCGGGCTGCTGGCCAGATCCCGCAATATTCATGTTAAAAACTCTCAATAAACTAGGTATTGATGGCACGTATCTCAAAATAATAAAAGCTATCTATGACAAACCCACAGCCAGTATCATACTGAATGGGAAAAAACTGGAAGCATTCCCTTTGAAAACTGGCACAAGACAGGGATGCCCTCTCTCACCACTCCTATTCAACATAGTGTTGGAAGTTCTGGCCAGGGCAATCAGGCAGGAGAAATCAATAAAGGGTATTCAATCAGGAAAGGAGGAAGTCAAATTGCCCCTGTTTGCAGATGACATGCTTGTATATTTAGAAAACTCCATCGTCTCAGCCCAAAATCTTAAGCTGATAAGCAACTTCAGCAAAGTCTCTGGATACAAAATCAATGTACAAAAATCACAAGCATTCTTATACACCAATAACAGACAAACAGAGAGCCCAATCATGAGTGAACTCCCATTCACAATTGCTTCAAAGAGAATAAAATACCTAGGAATCCAACTTACAGGGATGTGAAGAACCTCTTCAAGGAGAACTACAAACCACTGCTCAACGAAATAAAAGAGAACACAAATGAATGGAAGAATATTCCATGCTCATGGGTAGGAAGAATCAATATTGTGAAAATGGCCATACTGACCAAGGTAATTTATAGATTCAATGCCATCCCCATCAAGCTAACAATGACTTTCTTCACAGAATTGGAAAAAAACTATTTTAAAGCTCATATGGAACCAAAAAAGAGCCTGCATTGCCAAGACAATCCTAAGCAAAAAGAATAAAGCTGGAGGCATCATGCTACCTGACTTCAAACTATACTACAAGGCTACAGCAACCAAAACAGTGTGCTACTGGTACCAAAACAGAAATACAGACCAATGGAACAGAACAGAGCCCTCAGAAATAACACCACACATCTACAACCATCTGATCTTTGACAAACCTGAGAAAAACAAGAAATGGGGAAAGGATTCCCTATTTAATAAATGATGTTGGGAAAACTGGCTAGCCATATGTAGAAAGCTGAAACTGGATCCCTTCCTTACACCTTCTACAAAAATTAATTCAAGATGGATTAAAGGCTTAAATGTTAGACCTAAAACCATAAAATCCCTAGAAGAAAACCTAGGCAATACCATTCAGGACATAGGCATGGGCAAGGACTTCATGTCTAAAACACCAAAAGCAATGGCAACAAAAGTCAAAATTGACAAATGGGATCTAATTAAACTAAAGAGCTTCTGCATGGCAAAAGAAACTATCATCAGAGTGCACAGGCAACCTACAGAATGGGAGAAAATTTTTGCAATCTACCCATCTGACAAAGGGCTAATATCCAGAATCTATAAAGAACCTAAACGAATTTACAAGAAAAAAACAACCCCAGCAAAAAGTGGGCAAAGGATGTGAACAGACACTTCTCAAAAGAAGACAGTAATGCAGCCAACAGACACAAAAATTGCTCATCATCACTGGTCATCAGAGAAATGCAAATCAAAACACAATGAGATACCATCTCACACCAGTTAGAATGGTGATCATTAAAAAGTCAGAAAACAGCAGATGCTGGAGAGGACGTGGAGAAATAGGAATGCTTTTACACTGTTGGTGGGAGTGTAAATTAGTTAATCATTGTGGAAGACAGTGTGGCAATTCCTCAAGGATCTAGAACTAGAAATACCATTTGACCCAGCAATCCCATTATTGGGTATATACCCAAGGGATTATAAATCATGCTACTATAAAGACACATGCACACATATGTTTATTGCAGCACTATTCACAATAGCAAAGACTTGGAACCAATCCAAATGTCTATCAATGATAGACTAGTTTAAGAAAATGTGGCACATATACACCATGGAATACTATGCAGCCATAAAAAAGGATGAGTTCATGTCCTTTATATGGATATGAAGCTGAAAACCATCATTCTCAGCAAACTAACACAAGGAAAGACGACCACACACCGCAGGTTCTCACTCATAGATGGGAATTAAACAATGAGAACACTTGGACACAGGGCAGGGAACATCACACACTGTAGTCTGTCGTGGGGTGGCGGGCTGGGGGAGGGATAACATTAGGAGAAATACCTAATGTAACTGATGAGTTGATGGGTGCAGGAAACCAACATGGAACATGTACACCTATGTAACAAACCTGCACGTTCTGCACATGTACCCCAGAACTTAAAGTATAATGAAAAAAAATAAACAAAATAAAATAAAATCATAATTTAAAAAAATAGAATCCCGTATGTCACACAGAACTTTCTCCATATTAGAAAGCTTTCCATTTTAAAACCAATTGTCTGGTTTATTCTCCCTAAGTCTTTACTTCTCTATATTAAGCATCTTCATTTTTTTCAAATGTTCTTTGTGCTACGTGGTTTAAACTTATGTGCCTTCACCTTTCTGATCACCTTCCCATGAACAAATCCCCAGAGCATATTTTTTCAAACGCTATATTTTTCATCTCTAGAAATTCAATTTGTGTTTTTTATTTCTGCCATTTCTCTATTATGTAATATGTTCAATATTTCTCCTACTTTCCTTAACATATGGAACATGGTTATAATAACTATTTGACATCCTTTTCTATTAATTATAACATGTAATTTCAAGAGAACCCTAAGAGCTTGATATTCAACATAAAGAATATTATTTTTGTATGAATGTATTACCTGATAATCAGCAGGTCCAGGGGTAGCACAAGCTTCTTTCTGAACCGAGAAGAAAGTCCGAGGAACAGAAGAACCAAATGCACTTTTCTTCTGTTTCTTTGAGCAGATATTTCTAACACTGGCAATTATAGTATTGTTCAAGACATTATAAAATCCAGGACCTAAAATTATTAGAAGTATCATATATAAGAATAAGCATGCTTTTATATGCACCTTTTGAACTGAGTAATTTTTAATTAAGGGTTTTTTTCTAAATAAAAAACCCTCACATATTTCTGGCATAAATGTAAAATGGCATAGTCGCATTTTAAAATTTGGTCAAATTTTTATACAGTTAACATATACTTGCTGATATGGTTTTGCTGTGTCCCCACCCAAATCTCAGCTTGAATTGTAATTCCCACAATTCCATGGGAGGAACTGTCATAGGAGGAACCCAGTGGGAGGTAATTGAATCATGGGGGTGGATCTTTCCCATGCTGTTCTTTTGATAGTGAATAAGTATCACGAGATCTGATGGTTTTAAAAATAGGAGTTTCCCTGTACAACCTCTCTTCTCTTGTCTGCTGCCATGTGAGACATGCCTTTCACCTTCTGCCATGATTGTGAGGCCTTCCCAACCATGTGGAACCATAAGTCCATTAAACCTCTCTTTTGCAAATTGCCCACTCTTGGGTATGTCTTTTTTAGCAGAATGAAAACAGACTAATACAGTAAATCGGTACCAGTAAAGTTGGGCACTGCTGTAGATACCTGAAAATGTTGAAGCAACTTTGGAACTGGGTAACAGGCATGGGTTGGAACAGTTTAGAAGGCTCAGAAGAAGACAGAAAAATATGGGAAAGTTTGGAACTTCTTAGAGACTTGTTGAATGGCTTTGACCAAAATGCTGACAGTGATATGCACAATAAAGTCCAGGCTGAGGTGGCCTCAGATGGAGATGAGGAACTTGTTGGGAACTGGAGCAAAGGTGACTTTTGTTATGTTTTGGCAAAAAGACTGGTGGCATTTTGCCCCTGTCTTAGAGATTTGTGGAACTTTGAACTGGAGAGACATGATTTAGGGTATCTGGCAGAAGAAATTTCTAAGCAGCAAAGCATTCAAGATGTGACTTGGGTGCTGTTAAAGGCATTCAGTTTTATAAGGAAAGCAGAGCATAAAAGTTCGTAAAATTTGACAATGATAGAAAAACAAAAACCCATTTTCTGAGGAGAAATTCAAGCTGGCTGCAGAAATTTGCATAAGTAATGAGGAGTTGAATGTTAATCCCCAAGACAATGGGAAAAATGTCTCCAGGTATGTCAGAGGTCTTCATGGCAGCCCCTCCCATCACAGGCCTGGAGGCCTAGGAGGAAAAAGTGATTTTGTGGGCCAGACCCAGGCTCCTGGTGCTATGTGCATCGTAACGACTTGGTGCCTTGCATCCCAGCCACTCCAGCCATTGCTGAAAGGAGCCAACGTAGAGCTCAGGCCGTGGTTTCAGAGGGTGCAAGCCCAAGCCTTGGCAGCTACGTATGGAAATTCCTGGATGTTCAGGCAGAAGTTTGCTGCAGGGGTGGGGCCTTTATGGAGAACCTCTGCTAGGGGATTGTAGAAGGAAAATGTGCAGTTAGAGCCACCACACAGAGTCCCTTTTGGGGCACCACCTAGTGGAGCTATGAGAAGAGGGCCACCATATTCCAAACCCCAGAATTGTAGATCCACTGACAGCTTGCACCATGTGCCTGGAAAAGCTACAGACAAAACACCAGCCCATGAAAGCATCCGGGAGGGAGGCTGTATCCTGCAAAGCCTCAGGGATGGAGATGCCCAAGACTGTGGGAACCTACCTCTTGCATCAGCATGACCTGGATGTGAGACACGGAGTCAAAGGAGACTATTTTGGAGCTTTAAGATTTGACTGCCCCACTGGATTTCAGACTTGCATAGGGCCTGTAGCCCCTTTGTTTCAGTCAATTTCTCCCACTTGGAATGGGTGTGTTTACCCAAGGCCTGTACCCCCATTGTATCTAGGAAGTAACTAACTTGCTTTTGATTTTACTGGCTCATAGGTGGAAAGGACTTGCCTTGTCTTAAATGATACTTTGGACTGTGGACTTCTGAACTAATGCTGAATGAGTTAAGACTTTTGGGGACTGTTGGGAAGGCATGATTTGTTTAGAAATGTGAGGACGTGAGATTTGGGAGGGGCCCAGGGTAGAATGATATGGTTTGGCTCTGTCCCCACCCAAATTTCATCTTGAACTGTAGCTCCCACAATTCTTATGTGTCTTGGGAGGAACCTGGTGGGAGGTAATTGAATCACGGGGGTGGGTCTTTCCCGTGTTGTTCTCATGATAGTGAGTAAGTCTCACAAGATCTAATGGTTTTAAAAACTGGAGTTTCCCTGCACAAGCTCCCTCCTCTTGTCTGCTGCCATGTGAGATGTGCCTTTTATCTTCCACCATGATTGTGAGGCATCCCCAGCCATGTGGAACTGTAAGTCCATTAAACCTCTTTCTTTTGTAAATTGCCCAGTCTCGGGAACGTCTTTATCAGCAGCATGAACATGGGCTAATACACTTGCCATATGACCAGAAATTCTATTTCTAGGTATTTTCCCAAAAGAAATGAAAAGAACTCAAGTGTCCATCAGCTGATGAATAAGTAAACAAAATGTGCTACACCCAAACCATGGCATACTACTCAGCAATAAAAAAGAAAGACAAACACAACAATATAAATGTTTCTCTAGAATATCATAAGTAAAAAAAGGCAGACTCAAAAGCTTGAATAATGTATAATTCCATTTATATGTAAATTTAGAAAAGATAAAATCATAGCAGCAGAAACAGTTCCTAGGGCCAGAAGTGGGAATAGAGATTAACTGCAAAGGAACATGAAGAAACTTTTTAGGAATGATTAAAGTGCTCCAAAACATTACTGTAATTCTGATTGCCTGACTACATACATCTACCAAAATTCATCAAATTGTACATTTAAATGAATAATATTTATTATGTATAGGTATACCTCAATAGAGCAGAAATAAATAAATAAATCTCAACACTAAAAAGTTTTCAAATAATACAGCAGCAATAAAATACATTTCACAAAAAAATTAATATATCCTATCATTTGACCTCCCTGTCACAAAAGTTATTTTAATTTTTGTCTTTTATTTTTCTGTGCATATTCATAACCTGGAATATTTTCCACAGTGGTAGTTCTGAGTGAATTTAGGTTCATATATTTTTCATTTAAAATAATACAACTTTCTATGCTGTTCAAAAGTTTTTATCAAGACAGTCAAATACTTAAACATTTGAGTATGTTGTTTAAAAAATCAATTCTAGTGAGCAGCAATATCCATCAGACTCAATATGATATACTTAAAGAACACTTAACTTGGTTGTACTCATGTTATCTGCATTCTACTTAATTAGTCCTGCCACTAAATAGATATGAAACTTCACTTAAATCTCATTTGTTTTTCTGGGCTTCAAGTTCCTTATCTAAAAATAATAGGAATCGATTAGATCAGTGTTTGTCCAAGAACAATCTACAAGATAAGGGGTTTACAACTAAATGTAAATTGACTATTTCACTAAGCATTTTGTAACTAGTCCTTCTGAATGAAGAGAGGGTTGTGCTGATTTATGTTCTGGTAGAATCTCTTTTCTCATCATAGGCAAGAAACAGTTGACAAAAGAGTGTCACTGGGTAGTACTAGGTTAGACGTTACTTTGGTTCACTCCAGATCTAAAAGTGATTAAATCTTTCTGCATAGAAATATCCTTCATACTTCTGACACATATAAGATTTCTCTCTAACTGTAAACAAACTCTTCCCAATTTTTCAAATATTCCAGTTCTAGTCTATTCCCTAAAAATATCTACAAAAATTCTGTTGTGCCAACTCTCAGAAAACCTAAGTGCTAATATATATTATTCCCGCTGCTGTTCAACATTCTTACAGTGGTAATGTTTAGGAAAAAGATAAACACAAAGTATAATGAAAACTATTTGAGCCACCACTTAAGATATATAAATAACAAGTAACTATGTCAAATCTATCTCCCTTCTGGCTCAAGAGCATAACATAGCACTTTGCAGGTGAGCTTAAGTACTTAATATATCATCCTCAGGGCTAGGGACCTCAGACATACACATCTCAGGTACTACCTTAATCTGACTTGCAAAGCCATTCTGATCATATGGTTCACTCACATTAGAACTTTCTTATATTTATCTTAGAGTCATTAAGTATAGAAATGCCCAGGAACCCCAGATCAGATCTGCTATGGGAGAGTTAAAAGGTTTAGGGGTGCCTTATAGTAGTAACTTGCAAACATTTTGGAGCTCCACAGTAGGTGGTCAAATCTGCTCTATGACTGCTTTACAAGTCCAATTCTTTACTCTAATCTAATAATTACATGAAAAGAAATCAAATTTCCATGATGGCCATTCTTACTAATCCTTAAAATATGTAAGATTCTAGATTACGTTTTAGAGGTCATTCTTAATTTAACTTGCCCTTTATAAATAAACTAACTTTGAAGGATGTATAATATTTTATTTGTAATATACTAGACCATCAGACTGACGGTAAGACCCAATCTTAGAGTAACTGGGCCACTCAATAAGTTAATACTTAGAAATAATTTGGATTTCAGATTCATGATATATAAATAAGCAACTCAAAATCAAAGCTGTTGGAACTTTAAATTATTTTGAGCCTTAAAGGATTGTGCTTATGCAACCTGAATCACATGACAGGCAGCTGTAACTTTTGTTCCTCTGATTATAGATTGACCTTTTCTTTATCCACGTTGTTTTCTAAAATACTGTAAAAGACTAAAAAGTGCCAGAGAAGACCCCTTGCCTCTCCACTATTGATCTTCATTATAGCTTAACTTCCCTTTTACTTCTCTGACACAAAGATCGCATGACTATCACATTGTCTAAGATGGAATATTAAATGCACTCTTTTAAATTGGAAAAGGAAAACAGCTATAGCTAAACTGCTATAACTAATCAAATTGCTATAACTCATAAACCAGCTTTTTAAAAAAATGTTATAATCCTATTAAATTTCTTTATTTTCTGACTATAAGAGCAAGACCTTTTCACCTTTGGAGCACTGACCCCATTCCTTTGGAGTCTGTGTTACTTGAATAGCTATTCTAGCCTTTGCACCTGAATAAACTCTCTTAAACTGGATTCTGACCCTTTTGATTATTTCAAGTTTACAATAATAAATACTACTGAGCTAGCCTCAAATGGCATTCTTAAAGTAGTCATACTTCAACATAGGGGCTCAGGGCTCCAAGACCAACTGTTTCAAGAGGCCCAGATCAATCTGTAAAGCAAATGGTTTTATCTGAGAAGTGCTAGAATATCACTTCCACTCCATGCATTGGTCAAGAAAGCACCAGGGCTAGTCAAGACTGAAGGGGAGAAGAGTGAGACTCAATCTCTCCATGGAATGAGTAGCAAACAATTATACGAAGTGTATTACTATAACCAAACTCTAAAATCTGTGGCAGCGACTTTGGAATCAGACAATCGGTCAGAAACTAGAGCGACCTGATGAGTTAGAATAAAGGCCTTGAGGAGACTGCTGGTGATGACTTGAAAGACAGCGGGGAAAACGTTATTAGAGCATGGAGAAATGATAACTGGTATTATGCAATGGCAGAAATTTTAGCAACACTAATACTTGAGGTAATGAAGAAAATACCTAATGAACTGCTAGATTCTAACTAAGGAAATTTCCAGGCTGAATTTCAAAGTGCCAATAGTTCCTTTCATCCATGTGTGAGAAGGTATAGATAGATAGAAGGAAAAGAGTTTATAAAGTGTTCAGTTTTCTGGAACTACCATTTGACCCAGCAATTCCATTACTGGGTATATACCCAAAGGAATATAAACTGTTCTATTACAAAGACACAAGCATGTGTATGTTCATTGAGACACTATTCACAACAGCAAAGACATGGAATCAGCCTAAATGCCTATCAATGGTAGACTGGATAAAGAACATATACACCATGAAATACTATGCAGCAATAAAAAAGAATGAGATCAAGTCCTTTGCAGAAACATGGATGGAGCTACAGGCCATTATCCTTAGCAAACTAACACAGAAACATAAAACCAAATACCACATGTTTGCACTTATAAGTGGGAGCAAAATAATGAGAACAAATGGACACATAGAGAGGAACCACAGACAATGGGGCCTACCAGTGGTGGAGGGTGGGAGGAGGGAGAGAGTCAGGAAAAATAACTAATGGGTACTAGGATTAATATCTGGTGATGAAACAGCCTGTACAAGAAACCCCCACGACACAAATTTACCTATATGACAATCCCACACATGTGCCCCTGAACTTAAAATAAAAGTTAAAAATAAATAAAAAGTAATACAGTGTATAACTTTTCAAGGAGAATGTATAGGAAATAAAAAGGAACTAGAATTTCCTAGATTTGAAAATAAACTGTTTTTCATCCCCAGTCTATCCAGATAACAAAAATCTCTCAAAGTAAGAAGGGGCTTAAAGGAAAAGATGTAAAGCAGGATTTGGCTGTAAGACCTTTAGAAATATTTATGGTAATCCCTCATAGAACTTCTCAAAAAGGGGCCTTAAGAATCTTAAGGTCTTTATCCTGGGCCTTTTCACTTAGACAATGGTGCCCTAACAACTTAAGGGTGTTAAAAACATAATAGCCTCAAAGGTGATACAAAATAGACAAAGGTGACACAAAACATGTAACAGCCTCACAGGTGATTTAAAACAGTTTTTCTAAGAAAATGTAACTGTGGCTTTTGTCTAGTGGATTTGATTATAAATTAAAACAATAAGAAACTCAAAGGTTTTATAAGAATCGTATCATCTTGGGATAAAAGGGACAATGAGAGTAAAAAGGAAAAGAAGCTGATAGAAGCAGGCTGAGAAAGCTACAGCGGCAAACACAGCCTATTTCATAGAGAAAAAAGGATGACTCAGCAGAACCAAGAGCCTAAAAGGCAGAACAAACAACCACAGAAAATCATTCCCCCCAGAGAGCCTTACTGGATCCTCATCAAGGAAATGCTAACATGTGCCCAGCTGATTTTCAGAATTGCTATGGTACTGTGACTGTTGTGGGCCTCCAGTTTTCCCTCTTCCTGAACAGGAGTGTCTGATCTGATTATCCTATATCTCTCCCACCACTGTATGATGGATGAAACAATCCTCTCTTTGGTTCACAGCTCTGCTTATAGAGAAGGAGCTGTATCTTAAGAACCACAAATAAGAATCCTCATCTGCACTTATACCTGACTTAGATGACAAGACCCGGGGCTGGGAGTTGTGGCTTACGCTTGTAATCCCAATACTTTGAGAGCCGAGGTGGAAAGATCATTTAAGGTTAGGAGTTAAAGACCAGCCTGGGCAACGAAATGAGGCCTCATTTCCACAATTTCTTTTTTTTTTTTTTTGAGACGGAGTCTTGCTCTGTTGCCAGGCTGGAGTGCAGTGGCACTATCTCGGCTCACTGCAACCTCCGCCTCCCAGGTTCAAGCAATTCCCCTGCCTCAGCCTCCCCAATAGCTGGGACTACAGATGCGCACCACCACACCCGACTAATTTTTTGTATTTTAGTATAGATGGAGTTTCACCATGTTGGCCAGGATGGTCTCGATCCCCTGACCTCATGATCCACCCGCCTCAGCCTCCCCAAGTTATGGGATTAAAGGTGTGAGCCACCGTGCCAGGCGAAAATTTTTTTAAAATAGCCAGGCATTGTAGCACACACCTGTAGTCCCAGCTACTCAGAAGGCTGAAGCAGGAGGATCCTTTGAGCCAGGAGTTGGAGGCTGCAGTGAACTATGATCATGCCACTGAACTCCAGCCTGGATGACAGAGAGAGAGAGATCATGCCTCAAAAATTTTTTTAAAAAATGATCCTGGAGTTTGAAATTATGACATAATTACATGAAACTTTTGGGTCCTTGAGAAGGAGTAGGTGCATGTAGGAACAATGTAAATATTTTTGTAGCCAGGGAATTGATCATACAGTAGATTAAAGTTGGCCATCAATTCTTTGCTACTCTTCTCACTGAGAGATAAAGTTTCATGTCCTTTCAATCAATATGTGCTACTCTGAGTGACTTAATTAACTAATAGAATGCAGAAGACATGATATCCTGGGAGTTCTGTGGCTGGGTCATAAAAAATCTTGCAGCATCTGGTCAGGTCTCATGGAACCCTGGGCCACCATGTTAAATGTTAGGCTGCCCTCAGGCAGCCATGCTGGAGCTAAGTACATCCTTTGAATAACAGACCCATCTGAGCCTTGCCTTCTAGCCATCCCACAAAATAATGATATATAATAGAAAAGCCTGTTGTTTTAAGCGACTAAGATTGTTGAACAGCAATAGATGCCCAGAACTGTATGTCAGCAATTTTATAATTTATTTTGGTTCTATATTCTTAGCTCTGAACACTAAAATATCCACTGAGAATACCAGAATACATGATTGAAAACCTCTGAAATAAAAAAGTTTAACAAAACTGAACATCATAAATTATATTACTAATGGTGACCACATAGTTGATATATTATGTTGTTCATCTGCCAAGAAAAAAATCAGAAAATTTACCAAATAAAGAAAAACAACAGAAAATTATAATTAGGATGTGCAGAATGTTAAACTGAAATCTTACTAAAACTGTATATTATTTTGATTTATCTGTGTTTAATGTATAGTGAATGCTTTAAAAAATGTTGACTTAAAATGACACCAACCATAGGACAAAAAAGAAAACATACTCTCTGGTGTATCCATCTTGTTAAGAACATTAAGTTTCTTTATAAAGCCAAAGAGTAGACATATATAGATAAATTGCTAACCTGGCATTTCCTCTGTCCTGATGTCCTGTGTGAATCGAACAGCACTTTGACCAAATGGAATATTTTTCAGTCCTGATGTTTTCTTCAAAGACTTGAGAGCAGTTCGAGGTTCATTATATGTGCCAGGAGCCGGGGTGATTGATTTCATAGGTAAAAATCTCTAGTGAAGAACAGGAAAATATGCCAATAAGAAAGTATAGTACATTTTGATACTTCATGAGTTAAAACCTGCCTTTTGAGTAATATAACATCTGGAGTTAATTTATTTCTTAATGGAGTGAAGAAAATGTAGATGAACTAAGATCTTGTACCCATCAAAACATAAAATATATAGCTTTTAGTAAAATCACCTGTATACTAATATAGTAATGTATTATGTGCCTTACTAAGGCAGACAGACTTTTAGAAGAAAATAATCTCAACATGAGACTCTAGATGATAGTGTAGGGATAATGATCATACTTAAAATATTCTGCCAGTTAATATAAATAAAAAACTATATGATCTAACACGTTATTTTATGTGATCAAATTATATTTATTGAAAAAGTTCCTCAACATGTATATTCAATTAACTCAACAGTATCATTAGATATCTCAAAAAAAATCTTAGATTCAGTGGTTTATCAATTCAGTTTAACTTTTAAACTTATTAACATTATATATATAAAATGTTTATATATATATATATATATATAACTATAAATTCATGAGATATAGCACTGTATAATCTTTTTTTTTTTTTGAGACGGAGTCTCGCTCTGTTGCCCAGGCTGGAGTGCAGTGGCGCGATCTCGGCTCACTGCAAGCTCCACCTCCCGGGTTCACACCATTTTCCCGCCTCAGTCTCCCACGCAGCTGGGACCACAGGCACCCGCCACCATGCCCAGCTATTTTTTTGTATTTTTAGTAGAAACGGGGTTTCACCGTGTTAGCCAGGATGGTCTCAATTTCCTGACCTTGTGATTTGCCCGTCTCAGCCTCCCAAAGTGCTGGGATTACAGATGTGAGCTAGCATTGTATAATCTTTTTAACTTTTCATTTGAAAAGAATTTCAAATTTACAGAGAAGATGCATGAATAAAAATAATACAGAAAATATGTGTATAACCTTTACCCAGATTCCTCTATTATCATGTTACCTCATTTGCCTTTTTTTCTTTGCCAACTCTATCTCTGTTTTGTCTGTTTGTCTTTCTCTTCCTCTGTCTCTCTTACTCTACACACACACACACACACACACACACACACACACAGATTTTGAAAGTTGCATATTTCATGGCTCTTTACCCACAAATACTTCAGTATGTATTTACAAAAAAAATGCAGATATTTTCTTACATATCCACAGTACAGTTATCAACTTCAGTAAATGTATCAATGATCTAATGCTTTCATGTAATCTAGGATTCGTATTCCAAATTCGTCGGCTGATCTAATAAGGCCTCTACTGCATTTTTCCCCTTCAGTACATAATCTAGTTTAGAGTCACATATTGCTTTAGTCATCATGTCTCTTTTATGTCCTTTAATGTAGGAACATTTCTACAGCCTTCCTTTGTGTTTTGTGATTTTAACATTTTGGGAGAATCACCCTTTTGTATAATAGAACCTTACTTACTTGAGGCTTACCTGATATTTCCTCATAATTATATCCAGGTTATACATTTCTGGACATACTACTAGGTGGGTGATGTGTGGCTTTCCCAGGATATCATATCTGGAGATGTGATGTCTGCTGGTCTTCACTGGTAATTTTAATTTTGATCAAATTCAACACTGCCTCTATATTTATAATAAGTACTTAGCATTCTACTGTAAGCAAGTGCTCTCCCTTCTCCTTCAATTATTTATTTCATTAGCTATCTACTTACCTATCTATAGTCGACCCTTGAACAACACGGGTTTGAACAATGTGGTTCCACTTATACACAAATTTTCTTCAGTCTCTGCCACCCTTGAGATAGAAAGACCAACCCTTCCTCTTCTTCCTCCTCCTAGTCTATTGAATGTAATGACAAGAGCTTTATAGTAATTTACTTCCATTTAATAAATAGTAAATATATTTTCTCTTCCTTGTGATTTTTTAATAACATTTCCTTTTTTCTAGCTTACTTTATTGTAAGTATACAGTACATAACACATATAACATACAAAATATGTGTTATTTGACTATGTTATTGGTAAGGCTTCCAGTTAACAATAGCCAATTTGTAGCTAAGTTTGGGAGGAGTCAAAAGCCACATGCAGATTTTCAAATGCTTGGAGGGTTGGCATCCCTAATCTCTACATTGTTCAGAGGTCAACTGTACTTAGTTATCTATTTATTATCCACATTGACTCATGAATGCCAATGTTAACGATTTATAATTCATTACTGAGCAGGTGGGGGGCCCTTCATATTGTTTCCTATGTCCCTGTGATATGCTCTCATCATTATCTCGTTTAGAACTTACTTTCTGAAATAAAATGTTACACTGTCCTCTTCCACCTACCCTGGAATCAGTTATTTCTCTGAGGAATCCTTTTTCTTTCAGTAGGAATAGAATTAGAGACCAAGATCTGGGCACTTGATGTGTCCCTTGCTACTGGGGTATCTTTGCTTCTTAGTTCATTTAGCAGACAGAGCTAGGACATACACACATTCACAGAGAATGAGAGGGAGAAACACACACATACATATATACACTCATACATAGACATGTGAACATATATACATTTACATGTGCACATATATATGCATATATTCATACATATAAATATATATTAAAAATCATGAGTTCACATAAAAGCCTTCAATTCAAATCCATCCCACAAGGTCCTCTTTCACCTCCTCCAATCCATATTTGTATGCACCTTCCTTAACAATGAAAACCATACCTCAGATTATCAACTTTTTTGCTCAAACTTGTGATATTCTAAGATAGTTTTATAATTGCTTTACCCATACCATCCCAATAAACCAACCTACTAAAAATAATTAAGAATTTGTTTCCAATTCTTCTTTTTTTCTTTTTTTCTGAGACAGAGTCTCATTCCATCACACAGGCGCAATCTCGACTCACTGGAACCTCCACCTCTTGGGTTCAGAGGATTCTCGTGCCTCAGCCTTCTGAGTAGCTGGAATTACAAGCACATGCCACAATGCCCAGCTAATCTTTGTATTTTTAGTAGAGACTGGATTTTGCCATGTTGGCCAGGCTCGTCTCAAACTGCTGACCTCAAGTAACCCACCCGCCTCAGCCTCCCAAAGTCTTGGGATTACAGGCATGAACCACCGCACCCGCCCTGTTTCCAATTCTTACATTCACTACCCACTCACCCTCCAATTCCAGCCCCCATCGAAGACTGATATAGTCAAATACTATGGTTACCTGGATTATTACTTCTTTTTTTCCCTTCAGTGTAGTTAAGGGCATTCATTTGAAATAAAACTGCTCATTTGTTTCCATTTGTTTTCAGTTTAGTTTTTAACTTTTCCCATTCTTACTGATTTATTTTTATTTTTTAATATATGAAACATTGAAATCTTTCCAAAAGATAAATACGTATTTTTTGAAGTGTAGTCAAAGAAGTGTTACGCCCCCTGTTGGGGATGCTGCGCTACTTGGGACAGAAAAGTCTCAATTTGCAACATTTGCTGATTACCCGCAACAGTGGCTAATTTCACACTACCAACATAATGTCAGCCAGCTTGCAAAACTCCTGGAAACTTAACAATTGGGTCTTGCAAGCCAGTACAAATAAACAGCAGCATACCAGTGCTTGCACTTTACCTCCTCACCATCCCTTGTAGATAACTAACATCATTGTTTTCTGGTTTATCTTCATCGTGTTTATATAGCCAAGTAGTTATGTGTATGTTTTCCTATTTTCCTATCTTTTTTAAACAAAAATATAGTACAACATATATGTTCTTTTGAGTTGTGTAAAGTAGGTAAATATTAACACTACTAAAATAATAATTTATTATTGGAAGTACTAAAAGGACTCTGAAATTTATTATCCTAAATACTATCTTATTATTTTAGATGCTAAGTATAATGTTTATAAAATGATAGTTTTCAACCATGGCTGCTTATTAGAATTACTTGAGG
The DNA here is from genome assembly GCF_000001405.40 of Homo sapiens. Taxonomy (NCBI): domain Eukaryota; kingdom Metazoa; phylum Chordata; class Mammalia; order Primates; family Hominidae; genus Homo; species Homo sapiens. Next base: position 97,985,253 of record NC_000004.12, read on the forward strand.
AATTAAAATATATATATTACTGTTTAGGCCCTATTCTGAACCAACTGAATCAATTTCTGGAAGGAAGAGCAAAGGGCATGTTGGCACTTGGGTATCAGAATGTATTTAAATTCCTCAGATGTTTTTAATATGCATCCAGGGGTAAGGGCCATTGCCATAAAGGAAATATTGTGTATTTAAAATTAATAATTGAAGACATAAGGCAATTCAATGCATTTAGATAAAATGCCCGACAACTCCTAAATCAATGACTAAAATAAGCATCTCAGAAATGTATCTGTCTTTATTCCTACAAACCAGAAATTCTGTGTTCTAAGTCTACTTTGTTAATTGTGTTATTTCTTTTTCTATCTTAATCACTTATATGTATCTATTCATATTCAAATAAACATTAACATTACCCCTAGCAGGTTATCCTGTTTAAACTCTTCCATATCTTTTACTGCAGAACCATTATTCTTTTCCCCATCATCCCCTTAAACCAAATTGATATCATATTCTTTTCTATTTCTAAAAATATATTTTAAAATATGATTATTGTCAAGTGATGTAAGGTTAGGGCTATATATCAGATTAACAGAAATAGTATGAAACCTGAGATTTTATTTGTAAAAATCATATTTTTAAAAAATCAAGGGTACACATACACGCACATGCATGCACAGGCACATGCGCAAGCGCACGTGAGCGCACACAAACACACACACACACACACACATACACACACACAGAAAATATCCTGTCTTCCCCACATCCATCTCTTGTAGTACCTTAAGCATCATTAAGTTGCTTGATGCAGAAATCTAGTATTCATTCTTGATTCCTCTCAGTCCCTTATAACATCATCTAGCCCATTAAAAATCATGTTAATTTTATCTCCAAATATACTTGCAATCTATCTACTTGTCTCCAAGGAGGTGTCTCTTAAGTACAATAAAATCAAAGTAGTCGTCTATAGTCACCTGAAGGTTAATATTCTTCCCAAGTTAAATAAGATAATCAGAGCCATACATACCACAGGTGGATAAATATCACAATCACTTTGGTCTGGAGGCTGCCACATAATAAAGGTTTGCTAGTATTATAATTGTCTTGCCTTACAAATATGTTAGATACCTTCAGTTCCTCTTAGTATATTCCTGGGAGTATGTGAAATGGTTACTGCAAAATATACTCTATGACTGTTGTATCACTAGTGAAGGTCCCAGTGGCAGCTGTAGAAATGACCTATGGCCAGGCTCCACAGAATGCCTTCAGAACCTTTTCAGAAAGAGATGCAAGCCTATATAGCTTACATGTTAACACTCCACACATTCATTGGCAAAGTATATTTTAAAACAGACTAAAGAAGACATTTCTTATAAACTGAACTGAACATTCATATATGCAAATTTGCTTAATAGAAAATGTTTAATAGATGGTTCTATTCAAATATTCATCTGTGTATTTCTAATTTTATTTCACTTCATTTTACCCATATGTTTTGGCAATATATTTTTCCTAGACCATGTCTATTTCCAATTTGCTTAAATATCACTTTTCTTCTTATAACCTTTAAACATCATTGAATGTGTTGCTGGCCTCACACTATGCCTATTAGACTCTATATATGAAAATGGCTGTAGACCATTACCTGGGATTGAGAAAGAAAAGCAGGAGATGCATCATTTGCATTTGGTGTCATACTTTCTATCTTCTGAAATTGACTTTTAATGTCATATTTTCCAGGCCCTGGTACTCCCTAAATCACAAAAAGAAATACATGTTCTCATTAAGAAAGTATCTATAGCACCTAAGGGAAGAGTTGGCTAAATATCTGAACCACAGCCACAGAGTTTTTAAGTGAATTCCTACATAATATTACCAAAGCACTTCATTAAAAGGCAAGCTGGAACAAACTTAAGAGCAGCAAAAAAAATTTCCTTAGCAAAGCAGCCCTTGAACCTGAAAACACACTACCTGAAACTTTGCTGCCCTCTACTGATAAAGCTCAGAAAAAATTATCCAGCTCTTCACATGATTAAATACTAAAATGAAGAAAGAAAAATGAAAAATGACTTCTCTAGTTCTTCCATTTAAAAGTATACAGCTAGCTTGTCTCTAAAAAATTTTGTACTGTCTTTTTAAATGTATGTAAATCAACGTGTTTTTTCCATCAAATAGGCTTTAGGAAATAGTTTAACTACATATGTTAATTGTAAGAAATTAAGCTTTTAACTAGATACTTTATAACAGATAAGAATTAATTCAGTAAGTTCTGAGGTTGAGTTTTTTATATTCTTAGTCATATAAATAAATATTAAGAAGTACTATTTTTTCATCATCAAATATTTTAATTACATTGATAAGTACCTTTTATACTTATCAATTCAAATCGTCTGCTTCATACATACCTAAACTATTTTTCTTTGTCTGAAAGAATTACTCCTTGAGTTACTAATTGAATAATTGGCTTATAAATTAGATGTATAATGAAATTCTATCATTATATCCTGTCATTTCTATCTTTATAATATTTCCAAATCCAACCACTTCTCTCCACCTCCACAACTACCACTCTGATCAAAGCCACTACCATCTCTTACCTGAATTATTTTAAAAGTCCCCTAACTGTCCCCTGCTCCCATCCTTGTCCATCTTCAGTCTACTGACATAGCAGCCAGTGAAGCAGCTGTTCCACAATCCGAGTCAGATTGTATCACTCCGCTTCTCAAACCCACCCAGTGGTTGCCAATCTCAGAACATAAGTCAAATCCTTAATATGGTCTGAATGTCACACACACACACACACACACACACACACACACACACACATATTACCTCTCTAACCTCATCTCCTACTACCATCTCCCCTCATTCACTTTGCTACATATCTTCCTCAAACAGATCAGGCATATATCTGCTTCACGACCTTGGCATTTGGCAGTCTGTCTGCTTCAAATGTTCTCTTCAGATTTCTCCTTCATTATAATCAGGTCACTATACAATGTCACCTTCTCAATGAGTCATTTCCAGGCCACCTAATCTAAAATTTCATTACCACCTCCAAACAATTTATGTCCCCTTCTCTGCTTTTTTTAACCTTATTATTTATTGCTATCCAAAATAAAATTTTCTGCTATATTCTAAGCTCCAGAAAGGTCAAGTCATTTTCTTTTTCTGTTTGGCTCACTGCTATATCTCTAGAGTATAAAACAGTACCTGAAACACAGTAGGGTTCAGTTAATATTTGCAAGAAGAATGGATGGGTACATGAATTGAATCCTACATTTTCACTGACTACATTATGAATTTGATGATGGGTTCCTATTGAAAATAATGTGGCTCCAAATAAGTGCATTAGCCATTTCTAATTCTTATATTTTGTTTTTTGATATGGGCTCTCACTCTGTTACCCAGGCTGGAGTGCAGTGGCCCAATCTCATCTCACTGCAACCTCCGCCTCCCGTGCTCAAGCAGTCCTCCAACCCAGCCTCCTGAGTAGCTGGAACCACAGGCATGCGCCACCAGGCCCGGCTAACTTTTGTATTTTTGGTAGAGATGGGTTTTTGCCATGTTGATCTTGGGTTCCCCAGACTGGTCTTGAACCGAGCTCAAGCGATCTGCCCGCCTTGGCCTCCCAAAGTTCTGGGATTACAGGCGTGAGCCACTGCGCCTGGCCAGCCATTTCTAATTATGATAAAATATGTAAATCCTATGTATTTTTTTAAACTGATAATAATTTGAAAAAAAATTAGGAGAAACTAAAAATTTACGAGAAACTAATACAGAAGTATCTTTTATTTTAAATAGGTTAGATTCTAAAAAGTTATCCAAAAGTGCATGACACCTTGGCTTAAATGAGCAGATTCTTGCCATTATTTGCTGGCTGGTAGAAAAGAGGCACTTCAGCAATGATATGTAAGATTTTTTTTATCTATCAACTTGTAGTAAGTTAAGTTCAGAAGAAAAGAAACTTCTACACAATTCTGTGGCTATATAAACCTGCAAAATATGCAATAAATATAGAAATATGGGGAGCATAAATTCAAATACATAGCGTTAGCCTATTTTCTGAAGCTATACAGATATGCCGTATTCTTCTTCTCCCTATACAGTACTCCTTCCTTATCCAGAAGGGATAGGTTCCAAGTCTCCCAGTGAATGCCTGAAACTGAGGATAGTATGAAACCCTATATACACTATGTTTTTTTCTATACATATATATCTATGATAAAGTTTAACATATTTTAGACACAGAAAGATTAATAACAATAATTAATAAAATAGAACAATTATAATAAATGTTGTTCACAATTTCACAGATAGAAGATTCATACTTACTGCAGATCTTAGCAACCTCAACATATAATTTTTTTCTTTCCTTATTGTCAATAACTTTCACCTTTCCAAAGGAAGCACTTTACAACTTCTCTTTGGCATATCCAACTTGCTAGCATCACTATTCTTGCACTTTGGAGCCATTATTAGTTAAAATAAGGGTTCTTTGAACACAAGAACTGGGATACCCCAACAGTCAATCTGATAACCAAAACAGCTAAGTGACTAATGGGCTTCACCTACCAGGTGGGACAAAGCAAGAAGTTGAGAGATTTCATCACACTACACAGAATGGCATGCAATTTTAAACCAAATTGTTTACTTCTGGAATTTTCCATTTAATATTTTCAGACTGTGGTTCATCACAAGTAACTAAAACCACAGGAGGTGAAGGTGCAGATAAAGGGAGAGTGCTATATAGGCCAACATGATCAAAACAATCACCTACTAACAAACCAGAATTACTTTTCTACTATTTTCAACAGTTGTGTAAGTGGTCACTACTAGAGGTCATAGGGAAAAGATTACATGTGAATTATAAATGAATATACTTCAACTTAAGAAGAATTTTTTGCATAAATGGACAAATGAAATCTTGAATCCTTCAAGAAATACTTCCTTTTTCTTTTCTTCTGCTTTTTTGTAAAGATCCTAATGTTATTGAACTTTCCTTCACTAAAATAACATAGAACAATCAAATGAGGTCCTTGCTTCTAAAAAGCTAGGTTTCAGATTTAATAAGCCACTTAGAAATAAGCTCCAAAATAAGTCTGTGACAACTGACCACTAAAGGGCAGGTTTCCACTTATGACATTATAAAGAAGGAAAAAACACTTTGAGGAGACCAACCCTCAAAGTTGAAAATGCTGTGATGTTCATCCTGTTTTCCAAATTGTGACCAAAAGACAACCTGCATTAATATCAACCTATTAAATACATAGCCCCCCAGTTCTCATCTTAGACCTAATGAATCAGAATCTTGTTGAGTATGGGAATCTACTTTTTAATAAGCCCCACATATGATTCTCAAGCACAGTAAAGAACCACAGACTGGCACAAAATGAATCACTACCATAGCATCTTTTAGTAATCACATCTATTCTAAGGAAAAAGACCCAGACCTTGAAAGTATACTGCCGTGGAAACAAAGCTTAAAATTTATTGAAACAGGTTATTTATGGCATCTTTTCATCTGTAACCTAACAAAAAATGATTTTCTTTCTTTAAAAACTGAAGTATAATCTTCCATTTGATCACATTATGTGCAGGGATTGGAAAACTGGGGAAAAAACATACAGTTTAAACTTTATTCCTATACCATAATCAGTAATGATTATTACTACCATTTTTTTCTTCCAATAGGTTTTTGGGAAACAGATGTTATTTGGTTACATGAGTAAATTCTTTAGTGGTGATTTCTGAGATTTTGGAGCACCCATCACCCAGGCAGTGTACACTGTACCCAAAGTGTATTCTTTTATCCCTCACCTCCATCCCACCCTTTCCCTCGAGTCCCCGAAGCCCATTGTATCATTCTTATGCCTTTGAGTCCTCATACCTTAGCTCCCACTTATGAGTGAGACTGGGTTTCCATTCCTGGGTTACTTCACTTAGATTAATGGTCTCCAATTGCACCCAGGTTGCTGTGAATGCCATTATTTCATTCCTTTTTATGGCTGAGTAGTATTCCATGGTGTATATATACACACACATATATACATATATACGCACACACACACATATATATACACACATACACATATATATATGTGTGTATATATGTGTGTGTGGTGTATATATATATGTATATATATGTGTATATATATGTGTATATATATACACCATGGAATACTACTCAGTGTGTGTGTGTGTGTGTGTGTGTGTGTGTATATATATATATGTATATATACCACATTTTCTTTATCCACTCATTGATGGGCATTTGGGCTCCTTCCATACTTTTGCAATTGCAAATTGTGCTGCTATAAACATGTGTGTGCAAGTATCTTTTTCGTACAATGACTGATTTTCCTCTGGGTAGATACCCAGTAGTGGGATTGCTGGATCAAATGGTAGATCTACTTTTAGTTTTTTAAGGACTTTCCACACTGTTTTCCATAGTGGTTTTAATAGTTTATATTCCCACCAAACAGTGGAAAACTGTTCCCTTTTCACCACATCCATGCCAACATCTAATTTTTTTAAATTTTTTTATTATGACCATTCTTGCAGGAGAAAGGTGGTGTCACATTGTGATTTTTATTTGCATTTCCCTAACAATTATTGATGTTCAGCATTTTTTCATATGTTTGTTGGCCCTTTGTATATCTTCTTTTGAGAATTGTCTATTCATGTCCTTTGCCCACTTTTTATGAAATTGTTTTCTTTCTTGCTGATTAGAGTTTCTTATAAATTCTGAATATTAGTCCTTTCTCAGATGTATAGATTGTGAAGACTTTCTCCCACTCTATGGGTTATCTGTTTACCCTGCTGATTATTACTTTTCCCGTGCAGAAGCTTTTTAGTTTAATTAAATCCCATCCATTTATCTTTGTTTCTGTTGCGTTTGCTATTGGGTTCTTGGTCATGAAGTCTTTGCCTAGGCTAACGTCTAGAAGGGTTTTTCCAATGTTATCTTCTAGAATTTTTAGGGTTTCAAGTATTAGATTTAAGTCTTTGATGAATCTTGAGCAGATTTTTGTATACAATGAGAGATGAGGATCCAGTTTCATTCATTCACATGTGGCTTGCCAATTATCCCAGCACCATTTGTTGAATAGGGTGTCCTTTCGCCACTTTATGTTTTTGTTTGCTTTGTCAAAGATCAGTTGACTGTAAGTTTTTGGGTTTATTTCTAGGTTCTCTATTCTGTTCCATTGGTCTGTGTGCCTATTTCTGTATCAGTACCATGCTGTTTTGGTGACTATAGCCTTGTAGTATAGTTTCAAGTCGAGTAATGTAATGCCTTCAGATTTGTTCTTTTTGCTTAGTCTTTCTTTGGCTATGTGGGTCTTTTTTGGTTCCGTATGAATTTTAGGATTGTTTTTCCTAGTTCTGTGAAGAATTATGGTGGTATTTTAATGAGAATTGCATTGAATCTGTAGATTGCTTTGGCAATATGGTCATTTTTACAAGATTGATTCTACCCATCCAAGAGCATGGGATGTGTTTCCATTTATTTGTGCCATCTATGATTTCTTTCAGCAGTGTAGTTTTCCTTTGAGAGGTCTTTCACCTCCTTAGTTAAGTATATACCTAAGTATTTTTTAAGCTATTGTAAAAGGGTTGAGTCTTGATTTGATTCTCAGCTTAATCACTGTTGGTATAAGCAGAGCTACTGATTTGTGTACAGTAATTTTGTATCCTGAAACTTTGCTGAATTCATTTACCAATTCTAGGAGCTTTTTGGATGAATCTTTCAGGTCTTCAGGTATATGATAATGTCATCAGCAAATAGCAATAGTTTGACAACTTCCTCTTTACCAATTTGGATACCCTTTATTTCTTTCTCTTGTCTGATTGCTCTGGCTAGGATTTCCAGTACTATGTTGAGTAGAAGTGATGAAAGTGGGCATCCTGGTCTTGCTCCAGTTCTCAGGAAGAATGCTTTCAACTTTTTTCTGTTTACTATAATGTTGCCTGTGGGTTTATCATAGATGACTTTTATTACCTTAAGGTGTGTCCCTTCTATGCCGATTTTGCTGAGGGTTTAATCCTAAAGGAATGCTGGATTTTGTCAAATGCTTTTTCTGTGTCTATTGAGATGATCAAGTGATTTTTAATTCTATTTATGTAGTATATCACATTTATTGACTTGCAGATGTCAAACCATCCCTGCATCCCTGGTATGAAACCCACTTGATCATAGTGGATTATCTTTTGTATATGCTGTTGGATTCTGTTAGCTGGTATTTTGTTGAGGATTTTTGCATCTGTGTTCATCAGGGATATTGGTCTTTAGTTTTCTTTTCTATTTTTTTTTTTTGTTATGTCCTTTCCTGGTTTTAGCATTAGGGTGATACTGGCTTCATAGAATAATTGTTGGAGGATTCCCTCTCTATCTTGTGGGATAGTATCAATAGGATTGGTACCAATTCTTCTTTGAATGTCTGACAGAACTCAGCTGTGAATCCATCTGGTCTTGGACTTTTTATTGTTGGTAGCTTTTTAATTACCATTTCAATCTTGCTGCTTGTTATTGGTCTGTTCAGAGTTTCTCTTTCTTCCTGGTTTAATCTAAAAGGGTTGCCTATTTCCAGGAATTTATCCATCTCCTCTAGGTCTTCTAGTTTATGTGCGTAAAGGTGTTCAAAATAGCCTTGAATGATCTTTTGTATTTCTGTGGTATCAGTTTTAATAGTTCCTGTTTCATTTCTAATTAAGCTTATTTGGATCTTCTCTCTTCATTTCTTCATTAATCTCACTAATGATCTATTAATTTTATTTATCTTTTCAAATAACCAGTTTTTTGTTTCATTTATCTTTTGTATTGTTTTGTTGTTGTTGTTGTTGTTTCAATTCATTTAGTTCTGCCCTGATTTTTGTTACTTCTTTTCTTCTACTTCTATATTACACAGGTTTGAGAGGTTGTATCATTCTTACCATTCAGTTCAAAGAATTTTTTAATTTCCAACTTTATTTCATTGTTAACCCAACGTTCATTCAGGAGCAGGTTATTTAATTTCCATGTATTTGCATGGTTTTGAGGGATCCCTTTGGAATTGATTTCCAATTTTATTCCACTGTGGTCTGAGAGAATACTTGCAATATTTTCATTTTGTTTTAATTTGTTGAGACTTTTTTTGTGGCCTATCATATGGCCTACCTTGGAGAATGTTTCATGCATTGATGAACAGAACGTATATTCTGCAGTTGTTGGGTAGAATGCTCTGTAAATATCTGTTAAGTCCATTCGTTGTAGGGTATAGTTTAACTCTATTGCCTCCCCTATCCCCTAGGGATGTGGCTTCCTGAGACCTGAGCTGCAGTGATTATTGTTTCTCTTCCAGATCTAGCCACCCGGCAGAGATACTGAACTCCAGGCTGGTACAGGGGAGTATGTGCAAAGCGATGTGACCCATCTTCAGGTCTCTCAGCCATGAATACCAGCACCTACTCTGGTGGAGGTAGCAGGGGAGTGAAGTGGACTCTGTGAGGGTCCTTGATTGTATTTTTGTTAAGTGTACTGGTTTTGTGTTGGTCGGCCCCAAGCTAGGAGGTGGCACTTTCAAGAGCACATCAGCTGCAGTTGCATAGGGAGGATCAGGCAGTGGATGCAGCCATAGAGCTCCCAAGAGATTATGTCCTTTGTCTTCAGCTACAAGGGCAGGTAGAGAAAGATCATCAGGTTGGGGCAGAGTTAGGCGTGTCTGAGCTCAGCCTCTCCTTGGGTAGGACTTGCTGTGGCTGCTGTGAGATAATAGGGATGTGGTTCCCAGGCCAATGGAGTTATGTTCCCAGAGGGATTATGGTTGTCTTTGCTGCGTCACACAGGTCACCAGGAAAGTGGTAGAAAGCCAGCATCCACAGGTCTCACCCTACTCCCCCATGCTGCCTGCACCCCGAAAGGCCAGTCTCACTCCCACCATTGCCCCCTCACCCCCCCACCCCCTGCAATAGCACTGAGTTTATTTCCAGGAAGCCAGTGAACAGGGATGAGAACTTGCCCAAGGCTACAAGCCTCCCAGCTGAGAAAGCAAGCTGACTCACAGTTCCTTGGCTGTCCCACAAAGCCTGCAGTGGCAATCACCTCCTTCAATGTGTCTGTGAATTCTCATGGCTTTCCCGGTATGTTTCTGTGATAGTTCTTGGAGGAAAAGTATACAATGTGGGTCTCTCCACACGGCTCTGTCTGTCCAAGTGGAAGCTGCAAGTTAGTCCTGCCTCCTATCCACCATTTTCCTTTTGGGTTGTCTTTTTTAAGTCAGATTACATTTTAAAAAGATAAATTGATAGGAAACTAAGATGGCTGACTAGACACAGCCAAGAGGAACATCTGCCACTGAGAAACCAGGATATTGGGAAAAGACTAGCACACCCTGAGTAGATGTTCAAAGGGAAGGCACTAAAAATGAACAGATAGAGAATACAGATGTTGAGCTAAAGTGGGAGGAAGCTGGGAACCCTGCATGGGGTTACCACACACCAGGACTCATTTCTGGTCCCCAGTGACTCCTAGAAAACAGAAATGAGGCCAGTCAACTGAACCCACCAGACATGGTTTTGCTGTGTCCCCACCCAAATCTCATGTTGAATTGTAAACCCCACATGTTGAAGGAAGGCATGGTGGGAGGTAACTGGATAATGGAGGCAGATTTCTTTCTCTACAATGAGAACTACAAAACCCTGCTGAAACAAATCAGAGATGACACAAACAGACAAAAAAAATTCCATGCTCTGAGATAGTAAGAATCAATATTGTTAAAATAGCCATACTGCCCAAAGCAATTTATAGATTCAGTACTATTCCTATTAAACTACCAATGACATTCTTCATAGAATTAGAAAAAAGAAAGCTATTTTAAAATTTATATTGAACCAAAAAAGAGACTGAATTGTCAGAGTAATTCTAAGCAAAAAGAACAAAGCTGGAGACATCACACTACCTGACTTCAAACTATACTACAAGGCTACAGTAACCAAAACAGCATGGTACTGGTACAGAAGCAGACACATAGACCAATAGAGCAGAATAGAGAGCCCAGAAAGAATGCTACACACCTACTACCATCTTAACCATCTGATCTTCAACAAAGTCAACACAAACAAGCAATGGTGAAAGAACTCCTCGTTTAATAGATGATTCTAGGATAACTAGCCACATGCAGAGGATTGAAACTGGATCCCTTCCTTAAACTGGATCCCTTTCTTACACCAAATCAACTCAAGATGGATTAAAGACTTAACTGTGAAATCTAAAACTATAAAATTCCTGAAAGATAACTCAGGAAATACCCTTTTGGACATAGGACTTGGCAAAGATTTCATGACAAAGATGCCAAAACCAATTGCAACAAAAACAAAGAGCTCTGTGCAGCAAAAGAAACTATTAACAGAGTAAACAGACAACCTATAGAATGAGAGAAAAATTTGGAAACTATGTATCTGACAAAGATCTAATATCCAGAATCTATAAGGAAACTACCTAAACAAATTAACAAGCAAAGAACAAACAGCCCCCTTTTGCCTACTTTAAAAAATAGGCAATGAACAGACATTTTGCAAAAGAAAACATGCAACACAGCCAACAAGCATATGAAAAAAATGCTCAACATCACTAATCATTAGAGAAATGCAAATAAAAATGACAATCAGGTACCATTTCACACTGGTCAGGATGGCTATTACTAAAAAGTCAAAAAATAACAGATGCAGGCAAGGTGGCAGAGAAAAAGGAATGCTTATACACTGCTGGTGGGAATGTAAATTAGTTCAGCCATTGCTGGAAAGCAGTTTGGCAATTTCTCAAAGAACTTAAAACAGAATTATCATTTGACCAAGCAATCCCATTATTGGGTATCTATTCAAAGGAATATAAATCATTCTACTATGAAGACACATGCATGCATATGATCACTGCAGCACTATACACAATAGCAAAGGCATGGAATCAATCTGAATGCCCATCAGTAGTGGACTGGATGTATTAGTTCATTCTCACATTGCTATAATGAAATTCTTGAGTAATTTATAAGAAAAGAGATTTAATTGGCTCACAGTTCTGCAGGCTATACAGGAAGCATAGCACCAGCATCTGCTTTTAAGGAGGACTCTGGAAGCCTACAATTATGGCAGAAGGCAAAGGGGGAGTAGGCACTTTACATGGCAAAAGAAAGGAGCAAAAGAGCAATGGGGAAGGTGTTACTTTTAAATGGCCAGATCTCACGAGAACTCACCCACTATCATGAGGACAGTACCAAGGGGGTGGTGCTAAACTATTCACGAGAAATCCTTCCTTATGATTCAATCACCTCCCACCAAGTCCCACTTTCCAACATTGGAAATTACATTTCAATATGAGATTTGGGTGATAATGCATATCGAAACTATGTCACTGGACAAAGAAAATGTGGTACATATACACCATGGAATACTATGCAGCCATACAATACAAGAATAAGATCATGTCCTCTGCAGCAACATAGATGGAGCTGGAGGTCATTATCCTAAATGAACTAACACAGGAACAGAAAACCAAATACTACATGTTCTCACTTGTAAGTGAGAGGTAAACATTGAATACATACGGACACAAAAAAGGGAACAAAAGACACTGGGGTCTACTTGCATCAGATCCCTGTGAAACGCAATTTACCTATATAACAAACCTGCCCAGGTACCCCGAACCTAAAATGAAAAATTTTTTTAAAAGATAAATCCGACTGCCTATGAAGAAGATATTAAAGAACGGAGTGCGAAAAGAAGCGGAGACACCAGTAAAAAGGCTATTTCAAAAATGCGGTCAAGAGACAATATCTTCTTTGACTAGAAAATAGTTCGGTGATGATAAAATAATAATTAGAACAATAATGAGTCATGATAGATTGTCTACAAAGGTGGTCACCAAAAATGCCTCTTATCCCTGTAATCCCATGCTTCCATTAGAAGATGGAATCCATTTCCCTCACCTTGAATCTGACTGGCACAGTGAAAATTATGTAGCACCAATTCTGAGCCTAGGCCTTAACATGCATATGTTCCACATTTGCACTCTCAGAGCCCAGAGCGTCCTTACAAGTAGTCTAACTACCTAGACAAAAAATGAGGCCCAGCCAACTCCCAGTTATTACAGCCAACCCCTCTGAGGTGTCATACATGTAAATATCTTGGATATTCCAGCCCCAGCACCAAATGAATGCAGCCAAATGAGTCACCCCAGCTGATACGACATGGACTAGAAATACTACATGCATCAGAAAAACTACCTAAGCCCAGTGAACCCAGAGAAGCATTCTACTGAGAAGGTTAACTCCAGTAAGTTTGGAATCAGCATGAGCCATTTTGCTAAAGTACCTAAAAGGCACTGATCCCTGGTCAAAATACGAAACTACTAATTAATATTATTGTTTTGTAAGTATGGGTCCTATGAGTTTTGGAGTGGTTTGCATCAGCTTGTGAGCACTGCTAATCAATAACAGTGAAAGTGATTATTTGTACCTGGTGTCAGTGAGACCCATGGAGGGCTCTACTGTTGGTGCTAGTTAGGTAATAATATACCTAAATGTCCAGCAGAGTGTAAAAAACCCTGGCAAGACTCCATTTTGTGCTCCCTGATTCTGTGGTGTTCCATGCACATGTCAGTGGTTCCTGATCCAAGACAGAAAGCATGTCCTGTTATGGCCTTAGAGAGGGGAGAAAAAGTTCACGCTGGCCTCTCTGAAACCCTACGGTCTTTGACTATAAAGAATATTCTTAACTTTAATGCTCTTTCTATTTGTATTTTTTTTTCTGTAATAAACTATAGATTTAAGCATTGTCATTTTGCTTTAGTAATCGAACCCTGTCTGACATTATTGGGGCAATCATGGAAAATAACAATTTGTTTTAAGGCACTACATTTTGGAGTGACTGGCTATGCAGAAACAAATAACTGAAACAATATTTACCAAGAACATAGTATTTGCCAGGCACATTTCAATTCACAGATTTTTAAAAACTGTGCCACAAAGAAATTATTTCAAAAACAACATAGCTTGCAAGTGGTTGGGACAGATAGTATTGGTTTCTAGCACAATCCTAGTTACCAACTTCCCTTTTCCTAGCCATCTTTCACATAGAGGTGACTATGACACACTCCTGGCTAATGAATGTAAGCAATTATCAGATAGAGAAAAGAGAAACCAGGGCAAGGCCAGGCGCAGTGGCTCATGCCTGTAATCCCAGCAGTTTGGGAGGCCGAGGTGGGCAGATCATTTGAGGTCAGGAATTGGAGACCAGCCTAGCCAACATGGCAAAACCCCATCTCTACTAAAAATACAAAAATTAGCCGTGGTGGCATGGGCTTGTAATTCCAGTTACTCGGGAGGCTGAGGCATGAGAATCGCTTGAACCCAGGAGGCAGAGGTGGCAGTGAGCTGAGATCATGCCACTACTCTCCAGCCTAAGTGACGGAGTGAGACTCTGTCTCAAAAAACAAAAAAGAAACCAGGGCAAGGTTGGGAGAAAAACTAATTTAATTTTGAAATGTTAGTTTTGTAGTTCCTGTAAACCAAGGGGCAGGTGTCATATAGACAATAATTCATGGAGGTCTGGAGCTCAGTGGAGAGGTCAGGGCTGTAAATACACATTGGAAGTGATCTGTATATTTGGAAGTGATTATTGTATATACATGGCATCTGAGGCCATGAAATTAAATGTGGTGTCCAGAGAATTTCTGTGGAGAAAAAAGTGAAAACGGCTAATAATATTATGTAATATTTATGTGGTTCTCAGTATTATATCCATTTTAATACTATATTGTTAATATCACTAATCTCTTTATAATGGCCCATATGAACCTGTGGATCATTCTACTCTTTAGACTCTACTCTAATATAATCTTGATATCATTTACTATATTTTCCAGCTAACATCTAGATTGAATATTTTCATCAGACTGATAACTATTCCATTTTCCAGAGCTAATGAAAATATATCAATTTTAATTCCTAAAAACAAGATAATATTCAGCATCCTCTTTCTGTTATGTCATCTTATAATAAGGAAAAACAAACTTATAAGCAACTTAAAATGAAAGTTTGAAACTTACAATATTTTCAGGCTACTTCTATCAACCTAATTTTTGCTATATGATTATACTTGACACTATCTTCTTAACAAAAGAAAATAGTTCTTTTATTTTAAATGGACTATATTTTAAAAGTATGTGCTAAATACAGTTAACTCTTTAAGTGATCTAACCTCATGATTGATTGAATACAGAAATATATAAATTTGACTTGAAACTGTAGAAAAGAACATATATCTATTACAATTGTTTGCATAATTGCAACGTAAATTTTGGTTAATTTAGAAAGTATAATGCATTCTTTGTTTCTGTTCTCAGTAAACAAACATGCTCTATGTGGTTCCTTTTAAACTGATTAAATTTAAACAAAATCACATAAACATGGTAAGGAAAACTCTAAGTAAAAATAAATAATTTGAAAATTAACTTTGTATTAATCAATAATACCATTGCAAGTGTCACTGGGTCTCAGATGCAGCACTTAGGGTATATGCCATTCAAATGAGAAAAATTTAATTGGTGACAGGGCATGTTTTGCAGGATAAATCATATACTAGTTAGCTGACTATATGTTCAGTAACAGAAATGGAAACCAAAAGTAGCTTTTCCATATAAATTTAGGCAAGTAAATCAAGAAAGGCAGAATTTAAATGTAAGCTGCTAGGTTTTACTGTATATTAGTATTGCTTTGGAGTTGATGGTTGTCTTATGCAGTTTTAACCAAACATGAAATTGAGTAAAACTGATGAAAAGCCACTTTGATTCCGTATTACATCTGCTGAGTAACAATTTGTGTCACCACTGGTATTAGTAATTCAGCTGAGTCAAAAATTTAATATCGTAAATCTGAAGCTACACTCCCAAGTTCTGAAGTAAAGTAAATATGAGTAAATGTGGCCATCCTGAAAATCTCACCACAATAATCAAGAATTATATAAGGCTTTTGTACTCAAAATTTTTTCACCAAGAGGAAATCTATACAAATAGCTTGTATAGGTTTCCTGTAATTACTATACCCTATGTGGTACACTATCTAGTAGCAGTCAAGATTTATAATGTCTATTTTGGTAAAATGGTGCTATGTAAATGTTCGGAGTTCATTAACATTTATTACTATGCAATGCAACGTGAACTTCCACAGAGTTCCTTAATGTCAGTATAGTCTTCCTGCTCTTTACAAGTCCAAATTCCTCTTTTTAAAAGGAAAAGAAACATTATCACTTAATGAATAATACACAGACAATTAAACACATCCAAATGAAATAATGTTAAGGGTTATAAATCTCAAATGAAGCTAAAGTACCCATATAAGATTAATTATTATTACACTTGCAAAGACAGAGAATTCAAATGCCTGCTAGGACAAGGCAGGCAAATAAGTGCTAAATGGAAAACGGCGTACAGGAAATCACTCATGCTTATCCTCAGGAGCAGCATTTAATCAGCCCCAACTGGCTATTATTAAATTCTTTTGTTCACTTTTAAGTCAAACTGGAAGTCTGGATTTGTATGTGAAATTTCACAAGTTACAAACATTGGCAACTAACTCAATTTTTAGCAACTATGAAATAACTATAAAAATACACCTGTGGATTAAATTCAGCCCATAAGCCACCAGATTCCCCACTTAGCTCTTTAATATCTTAGAGTATAAGTATATTTAAAAATATTCTTCTACGTGGATGACATAAGGGCTGACAAAAAAATATATATTACTCCATATACATAACTCCAGATCTAGTGAAATCAAAGTCTAAAAGAGGTTTGATCAATGAGTTGGCATTTTCTAAGCCTAGTTATAGTATTATCATGATGAAATTATAATGTCCATGTTTATAAGTAGTAGCAGGGTTTCATGATCTTTACACACACTAATAGCTCTGAAACTAGGATTGCATTGGTCTGAAGAAATCTCTGAAGTGCTGTATAGGAAAAGGGCCCAATTACTCATATTTATTTAAGTAAATTATTATGTGGTAATAAGAATACTGAGTGACATCAAATAATACCTGATAGCGTAAAAAGACTGATTTTGTCTTTGCAATTCTCATTGTTATAAAACATAATACCTAACTTCCTATTATATTCACAAGTTAGTGAACATAATAAATTAGAATTTCCCATATCTTCTGCTCAAAGAAGTATACGGAGGATGGGCAATGGCAATCAGAAAAAGAAGTAGGAAAGTAGCTCAGCTGGCCAGATGTATAGACCCCTCAAGCAGATGAATAAGGTCATCTTATTCATCTTATTAAAATGAAGATGAGGTCATCAAGTAATAAAAGTACCAGAATAAGAACTTTCTCTGACTCTGTGTGCTGGAATGTCAATATGGATTTCATATGGATGTAGGGTCAAGAAAATGATGGAGAAATTCTCATTCCCTAAATTGAGACTACTTGTAATTACCTAAGAACATTAAGACAAACAACAAGGCAATTAACACTGAAGATGAAGGAAATTCTTTGCTTATGTCTTTAATAACAGCGTTTTTTAAAGTTTTTTAAAGTGCACACTCATTAATGGGTAATTAGTGCACATGAAGATCATCAATTTAAGTACTTTTTAAAAAATGTTTCTTAATTTTGGTAATAAAAACCAGCCATACATTTTTAAATTAGCATAAAAATAAGTTTTATTTCAATGAGAAGGATAATATTGTTTGCAGTCTTTCACCAAGGCAGCTATATGCAACTCAATGGTGGGCAGCTTAATTTATAATTTAGGTTATATTTGCAGTTCATTTCTCTTGCTAGCTTCTACTTAATTAGAAAATTCTGAATTCACAATCATTGATCACTACAAATAGTGCCAACAGTTTAATGGCTGTCTGATAAGTCTGGATATTCATATTAAACATAAATGGCCCAGAAATTATGGAGTGCTGGCTCAAAGACTACTGTCAGCACTCTAACAGATGAAAAGTTGTAATATTTTACAGGCAGAAGCTGGAAGGTTGGGTGTTTCAACTTGGAAGACAACACTGACTACATTTCTAATCCACTCTTAAGTGGTTTTCAGTCCTGGAAATTAGTTGCTCATGCTCTGTTGGAACATTTGGAATTGGCTTACAAATTAGCTAAATAATACATCATCAGTTTTTTTTTTCTCCAAAGACGAAAAAAACACATTGAGCTGGGAAAAAGTCCAAATTCCAGACTCAAGCTATTTGTATTAGAGTTTGATTGTTTTAAAAAATCCTGAGAAACTATTCTCAACATTAAAAGCACAATATTTTGG
Source organism: Homo sapiens (assembly GCF_000001405.40). NCBI lineage: Eukaryota > Metazoa > Chordata > Mammalia > Primates > Hominidae > Homo > Homo sapiens. Next base: position 98,003,539 of record NC_000004.12, read on the forward strand.
CTTGGAGGTAATGAGTTCAGGCCACTCAGGATAATAATATATGCCACTTAAAAAGACTACATGAAATCATAATCTTCTTACTGGCATTAGATTTATATTTCATTTCAAAAGCTCATATGATCGTGTGTTTTCTGGACAACATGCTTACTTCAATGTGGTCAAATGGTTGTATCAATTATTCATTTATTCATTATCCATACTTTAAAACCCCAACATACTGAATGCAATCTGAATGTATTCATACTTTTCACTTTTTGTTTCAAATTCAATTTTTAAAATCAGAAGGCATATAGGTTTGGAGTTTTTATTATTTTTTCTATCTTTATTGAAGTATAATAGACAAATTTTAAATTCTATACATTTAAGATGTACAATGTGATGTTTTGATGTATGAAAACATTGTGAAATGATTATAATAATCAAGCTAATTAACATGTACATCACCTCACATAACTACGTGTGTGTGTGTATGTGTGTGTGTGGTGAGAACAATTAAGAGCTACTCTTTTAGCAACTTTCAAGTGTAAACTGAATTAATAGAGTTACTATACTATAACATTAGATCTTCAGAACTTATTCATCTTGCATACCTGTAATGTTGTATCCTTTGACCCATATTCTCCACCTCCCAGCCCCTAACAACCACTATTCTACTCTCTGCTTCTTGAACTTTTTAATATTTCACGTAAGTGAGATCATGCATCTTTCTGTGTCTGTCTTATTTCACTTAGCATAATGTCCTCCATGTTCATCCATGTTATCACAAATAATAGGATTTCCTTCTTTTTTAAGTCTGAATAATATTCCTCTGTGTGTGTATGTGTGTCACACTTTCTTTATCCAGTCATCCATTGATGAACATTAGGTTGATTCCATATCTTGACTATTGTGAATCATATTGCAATGAACATGGGAGTACAGATATGTCTTCAACATACTGATTTCATCTCCTTTGTCTATATACTCAGAAGTGGGATTTCCAGATCATATGGTAGTTCGATTTTTATATTTTAAAAAACTTCCATACTGTTTCCCATAACGGCTGTACCAATTTATGTTCCTAACAACAACATATAAGCATTCTCTTTTTTCAACATCCTTCCCAACACCTGCTGTCATTTGACTTTTTGATAATAGCTTTTCTAAGAGGTGGGAGATGATATCTCATTTTGCTTTTGATTTCCATGTCACTGATGATTAGTGATGTTAAGCATTTTTTCATATAACTGTTGGCCATTTGTATTTCTTCTTTTGAGAAAAGTCTATTCAGGTTATTTGCCCATTTTAAAAATCAGGTTATTTGTTTTGTTGCCATCAATTTGAGTTCTTTCTATATTTTGGATATTAAGCCCTTATCAGATGTATGGTTTAAAAATATTTTTCCTATTTTGTAGGTTGTCCCTTCACTCTGTTGACTATTTTCTTTGCTGTTAAAAAAAAAAAAAGCTTTTTAGTTTATTGCAATCCCATTTGCTTATTTTTAGTTTTGTTTGCTCCTGTTTAGGGGATAATAGCTAAAAAAAAATTATTGCCCAGACCAAGGTCAATAACCTGAAGAACTTTCAGTCTGACGTTCAAGGGCAGGAAGCGTCCAGCACATGAGAAAGAAGAAGGCCAGAAGACTCAGCAAGTCAAATCTTTCCAACTTCTTCTGCCTCCTTTTTTCTAGCCACACTGGCAGCTGATTAGATGATGCCCACCCAGATTAGGGGTGGGTCTGCCTCTCCTAGTCCAGTGACTCAAATGTTAATCTCCTTTGGCAACACCCTCACAGACACACCTAGGAACAATACTTTGCATCCTTCAATCCAATCAAGTTGACACTTAGTATTAATCATCACATGCTCTAAAGAACAAACAGCTCTGAATAGGACTTCCAGTACTACATTAAATAGAAGTCATGATAATGAATATCCTTGTCTAGTTCTGGATCTTGAAAAAACGTTTTCAGCTTTTCACTATTGACTATAATGTTAGCTGTGAGTTTGTCATATATAGCCTTTCTTATGTTGAAGTACATTCCTTCTACACTTAATTTGCTGAGACTTTTGCTGAATTTTGTCCAACACTTTTTATGCATCTATTGAGATACTGTGGCTTTTTTCCTTTATTCTTGTAATGTGATATATCCTATTTATTAATTTGAATATGTTGAACCATCCTTGCATCCAAAATAAATCCCACTTGTTCATTGTGAATAATTCATTTGGTGTGTTATTTAATTTGACTTGATAGTATATTGTTGAGAAGTTTTATATCTCTGTTCATCAGAAATGTTAGCCTGTAATATTCTTTTTTATAGTGTCCTTGTCTGGCTTTGCTATCAGGATAATTCTGGGCTAACAAAATGAGTTGAAAATGGTTCCCTCTTTTTCCATTTTTTGAAAGAGTTTAAGAAGGATTGGTGTTAACTCTTTAAATGTTTACTATCATTCACCAATTAAACCATCAGGTCCTGTGCTTTTCTTTGTTGAGAGGTTTTTAATCAATTATTCAATTTCCTTACTCAATATTGTTTTTCTTCCAAGATGGCAGATTAGAAGGTTCTCCAGCATGCTTCACCCACCTGGTAGTGTAGTGATTCACACTGTGAAACTTTATTCATGAAGGATCATGGGAATTCAACCAAAAAGTAAAGGACACTTTACATCACGGGGAAGAGAAGTTGGTCAGACAGCCTGCACAACAGGATATGGCTGAGAACTGTGAGTAAAGTTCCAAAGAGGAAAGAGGAAGAGAGTGTCCCTCTGTGATTCACCCTTCCACTGGGGAACAGTGCAACCCAGGCCACAGGAAAGCACATTGTCTCTCCCAATACCTAAAGCTAACATGAGGAGAGGCTGTGAGAAGTAAAGGCTGTGAGAGACTGTGAGAAGTGAAGGCACTAGGAGGTTCCCTATGCATGTTCTCAGATCTGGAAACTGATAGGAGGAAATCATTCTCAATCCAGCCTCATATCAAGCTGGGAAGAATTTAGCAACCTAGCAGCAGCAACTGCCACTGGCATTAGAGTCTCAGGCTGGAGATTGGAGTGTTGGGTCTGGAGCAGGGGAGAGGACTCCACACTCAGAACTGAGAGATGAGTATGGATTCCAGCTGTGACACTGTAATTGGACTCTACCACTTCACAGGACAAGAACAGGAAGAGATTTGCTGACAAGCTCTGATTTTACCTAGGTAGCAAGATTTGAGGCCAAGGATAGCTTTGTGATCTAAAGCCAGACTGTGTATGACTCTACTGAGCTTCCCAACTCACTCCCTTGGTCAGGACTGGGAACTGAGCCCAATCAGTTCCGAAGTGTGAGAAAAAGGTGGGTCCCACACCTGTTCACATGGACCATGCATTTGGGCCATCCTTCCCTTCCTGTGCAAAGAAATTGGTGCAGAAGCAGTTTCTCCAGTCCTCACCTAGGCTTATCTCCAGGCATCTGGCAACTGCCCCCCAGATCCCTGTCAGAGCCAATTCCCTCAGCTGCCACTGGGGAACTCGAGTATGGATTTGCCTGGTCCAGCTCTGTACAGCTTCACCCCCTGCTCCAAGGCTGAATGTAAAACCCAAACACTGAGTGTTCCACAGCCAAGCCTATGCCTGGGACACCAGAGTGCTTTTTCTGATAAACAAAGATCAAACATAAAACCTATTGCACCACTGCAGCCAGATCTTACCTGCAAGTGTGACCTACTGTCCTAGAGGTCAGTCTACACAATCCAGTGACCTCTGCCACTCCAGCTTCTCAGGAAGCTGTGAGCCTGCTCACCCGCCTGGTACACCACCACTACAACCAATATTTGAGAAAGCCATCACACTAAGTCTACCTATAATCAAAAAATTCATAGATTCTTCACCACCAAACATACCCAGAAGCAAAGCCAAACACCCCTACTCAGCATACATTATAATCACACCCTAAAGGAAACAAAGTCCTGTCACAATGGAAGTGAATTCAAAAATAAGAAGTGACTGCTTCTCTAGAGGAGAAGTATAAGCATAAAAATACTGGAATATGAAAAAGCAGAGTGTTATGACACACCCCAAAGGATTACACTAACTCTCTAGCAATGGATCCTAACTGAAATAAAATTTGTGAAATGCAAGATAAAGAATTCAAAGTATTGATGTTAATGAAACTCAATGAGATCCAAGAGTAATCTTAAAATCAATACAAAGAAATCAGAAGATCAATTCAGAATATGAATGAGAAATTTACCAAACAGATAGATATCCTTTAAGGAAAAAAAAATAAAACTTCTGGAAATAAAAAATGCATTAAAAAATTATAAAATATAGTTGAAAACTTCCATAATAGGCTAAATCAAGCAGAAGAGAATTTCAGAACTTGAAGACAGGTCTTTTGAATTAATCCAGTCAGACAAAAATAAAAACAATAAACAAAGCCTTTGAGAAGTATAGGACTAAATAAAGTGTCTAAACTTAAGAATCCTTGGTATTCCCAAGGGAGAAATAAAGCAAAATATTTGGAAAATCTATTTAAAGAAATAATTGATGAAACTTCCCTAGACTTCCAAGATATGTAAACATCCAGATAGAAGAGGCCCAAAGAACACCAGTAATTAAATTACAAGATGAACTTCATCATGCCATACAGTTATCAGGCTGTCATTGTGGAGAAAAAATCCCTAAAATCAGCAAGAGAAAAGCATCTAGTCACATATGAAGGAAAGCCCATCAAACTAACAGCAGACTTCTCAGCAGAAACCTTACAAGCTAGAAGAGATTGGGAACTTATTTTCAGAATTCTGAAATTAAAAAAAAAAGCTATCAAGCATAAATTTTACAGCCTGTCAGAATAACCTTCACAAATGAAGGAGAAAAAAGTCCTTCCCAGAGAAGCAAATGTTGAGGGAACTGGTCCCCACTAGATTGGTCCTACAAGAAATGCTCAAAGGAGTTCTAAACATGAAAACAAAAAGTCAATACTCACCATCATAAAAACAAACAGAAGTATAAAAACTCACAGGTTTTATAAATAGTTTTATAAAAACTCACAGGTTTTATAAATAGTTTTATAAAAACTCACAGGTTTTATAAAACACTAGACAAAGGAGAAAGATAAAGAAATAAAATTATAACATGACAGAACTCCTCCAAACCACAAAGATAAACAAGAAAAAAAAAAGACTCCACAAAACAACTAGGTAACAACATTATGAGAGGAATAAAGCCTCACATATCAATTTTAACCTTGAATATAAATGTACCAAATTCTCCACTTAAATTGGTGGAGTGAATTAAAAAAGCATGAACCAACTGTGTGCTGCTTACTCATTATTGGTCTGTTCAATTACCTATTTCTTCATTATTCAGTCTTGGTAAGTTGTATATTCCAGGAAGCTATCAATCTGTTCTAGGTTATCCAATTTGTTGGTATACAACTGTTCACAATAGTGTCTTGTAATCCTTTGAATTTCTATGGTATCAGTTATAGTGTATCCTCTTTCATTTATAATTTTATTTGAGTACATTCTGTTTCTCAGTGTAGCCCAGGTTTGTCAATTTTGTTTATCTTTTTTTAAAAACCCAACTCTTATTTTCATTTATCCTTTCTATTAATTTTCTAGTCTCTATTTCAGTGTTCTGTTCTGATCTTTACTTTCCCTTTCTTTGTTAACTTTGGGCTTGTTTATTTCAGATCATTCTTTTTTGATGTAGGCGTTTATTGCTATAAACTTTCCTCTTAGAATTGCATTCACTGCATCTTATAAATTTTGATATGTTAGTTTTTTTCATTTTTTTATCTCAAGATATCTTTTTATTTCCCTTTTAATTTCTTCTTTGGCCTGTTAGTTGTTCAGAAGTGTGTCATTCAATTTTCATATATCTGTGAATTTTCCAGTTTTCCTCCAGTCATTGATGTCTACTTTCATATCATTATGATTCAAAAAGATACTTAATATAGTTTCACTCTTTAATTTTTTAAGTCTTGTTTTGTAGTCCAACATATGATCAATTCTGGAAAATTATTCATGTGTGCTTGTGACAAATATGTAGTCTGCTGCTGTTGAACGGAATGTTCTGTATATGTCTGTTAGGTCCATTTGGCCTAAAGTACAGTTCAAATCCAATGTTTCCTTACTGAATTTCTGACTGAATGATAATGATATATCCATTGTTGAAAGTGTGGTATTGAAGTCCCTTACTATTACTGTATTGCTGCCTATTTCTCCCTTGATATCTGTTAATATCAAATTATGTGCTCCAATGTTGAGTGCAGATAATTTTACTATTATCACATCCTTTTGATGAGTTGGCCCCTTTATCATTCATAGTTCAATCTCAGGGTTGTATGTGTGCAGGAATTTATCCATTTCTTCTAGGTTTTTCAGTTTGTTGGCATATAGTTATTCATAATAACCTCTAATGATTCTTTGGATTTCTGTGGTCTCAGTTGTTATGTCTTTTTCATTTCTGATTATATTTATTTGAGTCTCCTATCATTTTTTCTTAGTTAGTCTGGCTAAATGTGTGTTGATTTTATCTTTTCAAAAATCCAACTTTTCATTTCATTTCATTGATCTTCTGCATTTTCTTAGTCATGATTTCATTTATTTGCCCTCTGATCTCCATAATTTCTTTCCTACTAACTTTTGGTTTTTTTCTTAATTTTCTAGATCCCCGAGCTTCATTTTTAAGTTATTTAAGTCGTTCTACTATTTTGATGTAGGTATTTATTGATATAAAATTCCCTCTTGACACTGCTTTCACTGTATCCCATAGATTTTAGTATGCTGTATTTCCATTTTCATTTGTTTCAAGAAACGTTTTAATTGCCTTCTTAATTTCTTCATTGACCTGGCCCTTTTATCATTATATAATGACCTTCTTTGTCTCTTGTGACAGTTTTTTACTTAATGTCTGTTTTGCCTGATATAAAGAGAGGCACTCTTGCTCTACTTTGTTTAGTATTTGCATGGATTATACTTTCCAACGCTTCCCATTCAATGTATGTGTGTCCTTAAACCTAAAGTGTGCCTCTAGTAGGCAGCATATACTTGGATCTTGGTTTGTGGTTTTTTGTTTCAATCATTCAGCCACTATATGTGTTTTGGTTGAAGAATTTAATACTCTTACATTTAAAGTAATCATTGATAGGTAAGAATATACTATTGCTATTTTGCTGATTTTTTTCTGGTTGTTTTGTAGAATCCATTGTTTCTTTCTCTCTTGCTGTCTTTCTTTTTGATTTGATGATTTTTTGCAGTGCTATGCTTCGAATCCTTTTGCTTTATATTGTGTACATCTGTTTACCTTTGTAGTTATCATGAGGCTTACATAAAATGTCTGAAGTTATAACAGTTTATTTTAAGCTAATAAGAACATAACTTCAACTGCATATAAAAATTCAATATTTTAAGTTATCCTACCCCCACATTTTATATTATTGATGTTATATAACTTTGTAATTTTTTTATTTGACTTTAAGTTCTGGGATACATGTGCAGAACGTGCAGGTTTGATACATGCCTTAGTGGTTTGCTGCACTGATCAACCCATCATCTAGTTTTAAAGCCCCACATGCATTAGCTATTTGTCCTGATTCTCTCCCTCCCCCTGTGCTCTATCCCCAGACAGGCCCCAGTGTGTGTTTTTCCCCTCCCTATGTCCATGAGTTCTCATTGTTCAACTCCTGTTTATGAGTGAGAACATGAGGTGTTTTGTTTTCTGTTCCTGTGTTAGTTTAATGAAGATGATGGCTACCAGCTTCATCCAAGACCCGGCAAAGGTCATGTTCTCATTCCTTTTCAAGGCTGCATAGTATTCCATGGTGTATATGTGCCACATTTTTTTTATCCAGTCTATAATTGATTGGCATTTGGGTTGGTTCCATGTCTTTGCTATTGTAAATACTGCTGCAGTAAATATATGTGTGCATATGTCTTTATAATAGGATGATTTATATGCCTTTCGATATATAATCAGTAATGGGATTGTTGGGTCAAATAGTATTTCTGGTTCTAGATCCTTGAGGAATTGCCACACTGTCTCCCACAATGGTTAAACTAATTTACTTTCCCACCAACAGCGTAAAAGCATTCCTACTTTTCCACAGCCTCACCACCATCTGTTGTTTCTTGACTTTTTAATAATCACCATTCTGACTGGCATAAGATGGTATCTCATTGTAGTTTTGATTTTCATTTCTCTAATGATCAGTGATGTTGAGCTTTTTTCATATGTTTGTTGGCTGCATAAATGTCTTCTTTTGAGAAGTGTCTGTTCATACCCTTTGCCCACTTTTTGATGGGATTGTTTGTTTTTCTTGTAAATTTGTTTAAGTTCCTTGTAGATTCTGGATATTAGACCTTTGTCAGATGGGTAGATTACAACATTTTTCTCCTATTCTGTAGGTCGCCTGTTCACTCTGATGATAGTTTATTTTGCTGTGCAGAAGCTCTTTAGTTTAAATAGATCCCATTTGTCCGGCTTTTGTTTCAATTGCTTTTGGCATTTTCGTCATGAAATCTTTGTCCATGCCAAGGTCCTGAATGATATTGTCTAGGTTTTCTTCTATGGCTTTTATGGTTTGAAGTTTTACATTTAAGTGTCTAATCCATCTTGAGTTAATTTTTGTATAATGCATAAGGGGTCCAGTTTCAGTTTTCTGCATATGGCTAGCCAGTTTTCCCAGCACCACTTATTAAATAGGGAATCCTTTCCCCATTGCTTGTTTTTGTCAGGTTTGTCAAAGATGAGATGGTTGTAGATGTGTGGTGTGATTTCTGAGGTCTCTGT